>NW_025791810.1:0-89211 GCF_000001405.40 Homo sapiens
CATGGGACAGACAGGGAAACTGAGGCCTGAGGTTGCAAGTGGCGAAAGTGGCAGAGTCATGCTCTGAGGCTGGGTTTGTCTCGTTTCTGAGACCCCCTGTGGGAACAGACATCTCCTCCCCCACCAAACCCCAGGAGACAGACAGCCCCTCCTTCCCCAGGGCCACCCAGAGGCTCATTCTTTTGACAGCCAGGTGCACCAGCCCGGGGGGCAGGTGGGGACTAAAGATTTCCTCTCCCAACCACAAGCGTGACTGCCACCTGCTCTGGGGCTGGGAGTCCCCTGCCTGCAGGTCCGCCAGCAGCGCTGCCTGTCATTCCAGCGTCTGCAGTTCTCTCCCGGGGCTTCCGAGTTTGGGGGTGGAGCCACCGCTTGGGTAATAAATTTAGGCTGCCAGGCCCTGGGAATCGGTGACTTGGGCACCTCCTGGCGAGTGTGGGAGAAAGCGGCTGGACCTGGGCCAAACTTGGGTGAACGATGAAGGCAGGAAGAATGACCTTTAAGCCCGCCTCTGTCGCTCTCTCTCGGCCACCTGCTAATGATGTGACCTTGGGATGGTCCGTTTTGTCACCTGTCACATGGGGGTGGCCTTGACAGTAGCTGCTGCCACTCCATGGAGTGGGGTCCCCACACAGGCTTCGGATGCAGTAGGCTGCGGTACCTGCTGCTCCTCTGCATTCTGAGAAACCCAAACACCCCGATTCATTTCTTGGATAGGGAAACTGAGGCTCCACTGCACAGCGGGGCAGTGGGGATGGAGGGAGTCTGAAAAGCCCGGGGCCTCAGAGCAGACGTCGGGGCCTGAAGAGGGGGCTCTAGAGACCTATGACAACCTCACTAAAGAGGGATAGGGCATGGGAAGCAGCCCCCCAGTGCTGCCCAGAGAGGATGCACCAGTGTCCTGGGGCAGCCCAGCATAGGGGCGGGGTCCAGATAGATTTGCGATGGAGGACGAGGAGAATGGAGCAGCAATGGGGTGAGAGAGGGGCCCAGAGGAGGTGAGTTAGAGACCCCGGTCAGCTCAGCTCAAGGTGAGACGGGCTGGAAAGCGGCCCAGAAAGGATGGACCAGGTTCTGGGCAGCCAATATAGGCTCAGGGTTCAGAAAGGGGTTTTGGACCAGCGTAGGGGTGTGAGTGTGTACGTGCCCCCCAGTGCCGCCCAGAGAGGGTGCATGAGCAGCTCAGCAAGAGGGTGGGGAAATTTGGGACCTGGGAGTGAGACGAGAAGCCGTCTAGGCCTGGCGTCCCAGCAAGGGTCTTCGTTTGCAGGGGTACAGAGAGGGTAGGGGGCTCCCTCCCACCCCCTGCACCCACTGACCCCCCCTCCTTTCTCTTCCTCCCCTCGCAGACCGTGCACTCCTGCAGGGGGCCCCGGATGCGATGGAGCTGCGCGAGCTGACGCCCTGGGCTGGGCGGCCCCCAGGTCCGCGCCGTCGGGCGGGGCCCCGGCGGCGGCGCGCGCGTGCGCGGTTGGGGGCGCGGCCTTGCGGGCTGCGCGAGCTGGAGGTGCGCGTGAGCGAGCTGGGCCTGGGCTACGCGTCCGACGAGACGGTGCTGTTCCGCTACTGCGCAGGCGCCTGCGAGGCTGCCGCGCGCGTCTACGACCTCGGGCTGCGACGACTGCGCCAGCGGCGGCGCCTGCGGCGGGAGCGGGTGCGCGCGCAGCCCTGCTGCCGCCCGACGGCCTACGAGGACGAGGTGTCCTTCCTGGACGCGCACAGCCGCTACCACACGGTGCACGAGCTGTCGGCGCGCGAGTGCGCCTGCGTGTGACCCTACCTCACTCGGCCGGCGCGGCGGCCACTCCCCCCGCCTCGACGGCACCACTGGCCGGCCCCGCGAAAGACTGCGCGTGCGTAGAGCACGCCGGCGCGGCCCCGGGACTCTCGCGATAACTGTACTGAGATAAAGTGTGGCAACTCGAGCTGGCTGGTGATTCATCCTCGGCGAGGGGCTCGCGTGTGGGCCACGTCGCCGTCTCCACCGGGAAAGCGGGGACCAGTGGGGGGGGCCCAGCTGCAGGGTAGTGGGAGGATGCTGTTTGCTTTGGGGGAAGGGTAGATGCAAAGTGGGTCCAGTTTATGGCGGACAAAAAGGAAAATGGGGTGAATGGGGCTATGTTGGCAGGGACCGTCCTTCCTGCCTCCCTACGGGTCCCTCTGCCCGTCCCGAGCGTGTTCCGGTCCGCACCTCTTCGCTGTGTGGGCTTCTGGGGAGGGGAAAGGGAAGCTACGCTCGGATGAAGAGACCGAGGTCTAGGTGGACCCCGTTTCCCCAGCTTGTTCCCTTCCGCACCTCTCCGCGGTGCGGGCTTCTGGGATGAAGACACTGAAGTCTAGGTGGGCCCAGTTTCCCCAGATTGTCGCTGACTGCACCTCTCGCTTCTGGGATGAAGAGACTGAGGTCTAGGTGGACCCAGTTTCCCCAGCTTGTTCCTGACTGCACCTCTCTGCTGTGTGGACTTCTGGAGAGGGGGAAAGGGGGAGACACTGTGGGTGAGGAGCCTGAGATCCAGGTGGAATCAGTTCCCCAGCGTCTCCCTGTCCGCACTGATCCCGCTATGTGGGTTTCTAGGAAGGGGGAGCCACTCTGGGGGTGAGGAGAGTGAGGTCCAGGTGGACCTGGGCCTCCCTTATCCGACGGCCTCCTCGGGCCGGTCTTCGCCCACCAGGGTGAGCTGAAAGCCACTATCTCCTTCCACCAGCTACTAAAAATACCCGCACGCTGCCCACCTCCCGGCGGGGAGAGGCCTGGGGCGGGCGCCAGCCCCATCCAGCCCGAAGCCGGCGCCTGCTGGTGTAGAGCTGGGTCCCCAGAGACCTGGGTCCTCGGCCCATAAAAGCCCTGGCCGGGCCTCCACGGGGGGGATTTACGACGAGCCCCTGCGGAGTATGGAAAAAGCCCGGCTCGGTGTTTAGATTTCCCCACGGTGTCACCTTGATGCTTGGCAGGCCTCGGGTGTTGGGTTGCCAGAGCGCGGGAGGGGTCGGCGGGTCCCACGGTCGGTCTGAGGGGCGGGGAAGGGGCGGGCACTGCGAGCCCAGAGCAGGCACCGGCGAGGCGAGACTCCTCCCCTCCTGCCCCTCAGACTGGGGGTTCCCAAGGCTACAACCCTTCTCCTTAGCTGGGCCCCCTCCCCTCCTTCCCACACGTCTGCCCTTAGGACCACCCTCTAACCACAGTGTCCCTTCCCAGGCTCAGCCCGCATCCCCCCACCCCCCGCAAAGCTGGAGGGCGCAGATCGGAAACCGCCCCCAGGGAGAATCACCCAGCCATGAAGGAACATCCCTAGCCCCTGGCTCCCGGGGACCCACAGCTACAGCTGGAGACACTCAAGGCGGCTAATCAGCAGGACTTCCAGGGAGCCCTGAGAGCAGGGCTTGGCGGCCAGGCGGGTGATCTGCTTGGGAAGCAGTTTCAGGGCTGCCGCTGGCTGGGGTCCCCGCCTACCCCCGCAGTCTTCTGACTCTGAGGTTTAAGGTGGTGGATTCCTCCACCCTTTGGGCCGACTCAGCCCGGCCTCCGCAGAGAGGCCGGAGTTCCCAGACGCTGCGGAAGCCCAAGTGACGCTTACTCCGAGCCTCAGTTTCCCCATCCTAGATGGCCTGGCCTCAGAGAGGAGTGTTGTTCAGCCCAGGACACACAGCGAGAAAGCTGACCATCAGGGGTCTGCCGCCCCCCCGAAGCTCCCCTGCCACAGTGTGCATGTGTGTGTGAGTGTTGCCCACCCTCCGGGGCCTCCCGGACCTCGGCCTTCCTGTCTCCCACCCAGATCCAGCGTCCCAACCACAGGGCGCGGGCCCAGCCCACCAGGGAATTGGAACATAAATAAACCGAGAAGCCCCTGCAGTTCCCTGGGGCTGCGGTTGTCATCAGCGCATCGGCACACCGGATGAGGGTCTCTCTCACACACACACACAAGCACACTCACAAGACACAGAGATCACCACCCATAAGGGCTCAGCAGGCAGGACCCATGATCCTACACAGTCACCTTCCACACAGAATTGCACACTCAGAAAGGGACACTCCCCCTTTTTTTTTTTTTTCTTGAGACAGTCTCACTGTGTCGCCCAGGTTGGAGTGCAGTGGTGCGATCATGGCTCCCTACAACATCTGCCTCCTGGGTTCAAGCGATTCTTGTGTCTCAGCCACCTGGGTAGCTGGGATTACAGGCACCGGCCACCGCACCCAGCTAATTTTTTTTTTTTTTTTTTTTTTTTTTTTGAGACAGAGTCTCGCTCTGTCGCCAGGCTGGAGTGCAGTGGCGCGATCTCGGCTTACTGCAACCTCCGACTCTCTGGTTCAAGCGATTCTCCTGCCTCAGCTTCCCAAGTAGCTGGGATTACAGGCATGCACCACCACGCCCAGCAAATTTTTGTATTTTTAATAGAGACGGGTTTCACCATATTGGCCAGGATGGTCTCGATCTCCTGACCTTGTGATCCGCCTGCCTCGGCCTCCCAAAGTGCTGGGATTACAGGTGTGAGCCACCGCACCCGGCCTCATCATTGGTTTTCTTTGCAGTATTACATCTGGAAACGGTGCGGTGATTATCTCTCTGCACCCCTCACAGGCGGCTAACAACATCACAAACAAATCAGCCAGAACCATCACTCATGGGTGGGGCCCCATGGGTGCCAGTTCCCAGGGCCCAGTGCCCTCCAGGGTGAGGTCCCCAGCAGGTGAGGCTCCTAGCAGGTGAGATTCAGTGTGGAAGGTCTCTGGGAGCAGGTCCCAGCAGGTAAAGTCCCCAACAGCCGAGGTCCCCAGTAGGCAAAGTCCCCAGGAGACATCCCCAGCAGGCCAGGCTTCCGCAGGGGACGCTCCTGGAAGCCAGCATGTGAAATCCCAGGTAAGGGACATACCTGGCCACCGAAGACTCCAGCAGGTGAGGCCCCAGGAAAGTGAGGACCCAGGTAGGTGAATCCCCAGGCAGGTGAAGCTGCAACAGGTGACCGTCCCAGGCAGGTGAGTCCTCAGGCAGGTGAAGCTTCAGGCAAACGAGTCCTTAGGTAGATGAGGCCCCCACTCAGGTGAGGCCCCAGGAAAATGAGGTTCCTGGCAGCCCAGGCCCCACACCAGCCTCTCAGGTGAACCAAGCCGCTATGCCGCGTGTCTGGTACCTGGATTCCTCCTGCAGTTTCCAGCAGGCCTTGCAGAAAGCGAGTGCCCAGCTGAAGGAGCGAGGCCGCAGCGTCTCCCGCCAGCGAAAGTAGCTCAGGTAGCGGGCGTGGTCCTTGTCCAGCTCCTGCAGGTACCGGGCCAGGTCCTTGGGGCTCTGGAAGTCGTCCACGTGGATGAAGGCGTCGGGTGGCAGGAACCTCTCGTAGTTGCTTCTGCTGGGGCCCAGCACCACGGGCACGGCCCAGGCCTCCAGGGCGTTCCTCCACAGCTTCTCGGTGATGTAGTCGGGGTGCAAGGAGTTCTCGAAGGCCAGATAGAACTTGTACCGGGACAGCGTCTCCATCATGGTTCCCTGGGGCAGGGGCTTGTGGGAGCGTCCGTACACGTCCACCTTGAGATGGGCCTGCAGGCTCTGGTAGTAGCGCACCCTGGCGGAGTTTGGCCCCCAGTTGGACACTGCCCAGGCCACCAGCTCGGTCTTGGCCGAGAGGTTGAGCGGTGGGTGGGCAGGCTGGCCGGACCACGGCTCCAGCCAGCCGTAGGGCGTGAAGATGTCGGAGTCGCTGCGGTAGGACATGGTGAGATTGAAGTATCCGTCCATGGCTTTCAGCTGCCAGCAGTGGCTTGGGGACTCCATGCTGAACCAGATCCATCGCTGCCCCTGCCGCCTCGGGGAGCGTGGGAGCTGGGCACTGGGGTTGTACATGACCTCTCGGTGGTGCACGATGACCGCGTCTGCCTGTGGATACACCTTGCGGTCGGCAGTGATGTTGCAGTCAGCCGTGCCAGGCACCATCTCTGAGCAGCGGGGCAGAGCTATGGGTTTGTTAAAAGGCCACGTCCACAGCAGGATCAGGGGGATGGAGTGGGCGGGGGTCCCTGTGCTGTCTGGGAAGCGGGACCCATTAGGGTACACAGTGGGATCGTCTTGAGACACACGCAGATAGGAGAAGAAACACACAGCCATCAGCAGCTGAAACAGCAGCGTGGTCAGACAGCAGCGCCACGACCACTGTGGCTTGGCCGGGCCCAGGGGATCCATGGGTCAGAGTCTCTGGGAAGTGGGGAGAGAGGAGTGAGGGTCATTGATGACAATCTCCTGCTTACCAAAGCTCCAGGCCATGAGTCCTGAGAAGAGCTGTTATTATTCCTGTTTCACAGATGAGAAAACTGAGACCAAGTGACTCACAGCAAAAGTCAGCACAGCTGGTGTTTGAACAAAGGGAGCTTGGCCCAGAGTCCACTTCCTCCCACCCATTAGACAACAGGCCCTTTCTACATGGGCAAGGGTCCCTGGGGAAGTTGGGAGAGGCCCCAAGGGCCCTCAGGTCCCACCTTGATCCTGTCCTTTTCTGGTGTGTCACCAGACTCTTCCTCAATCTGGAGAGAAGACACAGCCGATCATAAATGCCCCCCAGTGCCCCTGAGTCGAGGCTTGAACCCATGACTCTGCTGGGGAAGGGCACAATGGGATTGGGTTTTGGAGGTAATATAAGAGCTCACCAGATAGAGTAGACCTGTGGGAAAGGGTGCTCCTGGCAGAGGAAACCACCATTGCCAAGGCCTAGTGGGGAGAGACCCCTGAGCAGTTTGCAGAGAAAGCAAAGGAAGTACTCAGGGCTGCCAGTGTCGAGTTCATATTAGATTGGTGCAAAAGTAATTGCTGTTTTTACCATTGAAAGTAATGGCAGCCATGCGCGGTGGTTCATGCCTGTAATCCCAGCACTTTGGGAAGCCGAGGCGGGCAGATCACGAGGTCAAGAGACCAGCCTGGCCAACGTGGTGAAACCCCATCTCTACTAAAAATGCAAAAATTGGCCGGGCGTGGTGGCGTGTGCCTGTAATCCCAGCTACTTGAGAGGCTGAGGCAGGAGAATTGCTTGAACCTGGGGGGTGGAGGTTGCAGTGAGCCGAGATCGCACCGCTGCACTCCAGCCTGGGCAATGGAATTCTATCTTGGAAAAAAAAAAAAAAAGAAATATTAACTTGGGTCAAGCACGGTGGCTCATGCCTATAATCCTAGCACTTTGGGAGGCTGAAGGTGGATCACTTGAGGTCAGGAGTTCGAGGCCAGCCTGGCCAACGCGGTGAAACCCATCTTTACTAAAAATACAAAAATTAGCTGGGCGTGGTGGCGGGCACCTGTAATCCCAGCTACTTAGGAGCCTGAGGCAGGAGAATCACTTGAACCCGGGAGGAGGAGGTTGCAGGGAGCCAAGATGGCACCACTGCACTCCAGCCTGGGACACAGAATGAGATTCCATCTCCAAAAAAAAAAAAAAGAAAGAAATATTCACTCGGGGTTTCATTCAATAAGCACTCAGGGCCGGGTGCATTGGCTCACGACTGTATTCCCAGCACTTTGGAAGGCAGAGGAGGGCGGATAACTTGAGGTCAAGAGTTTGAGACCAGTGTGGTCAACATGGAGAACCCACATGTCTACTAAAAATACAACAATTAGCTGGGCATGGTGGCACATGCCTGTAGTCCCAGCTACTCGGGAGACAGAGACATGAGCATCACTTGAACCTGGGAAGCAGAGGTTGCATTGAGCCAAGATCACACCATTGCACTCCAACCTGGGTGACAGAGCGAGACCCTGTCTCAAAAAGAAAAAAAAAAGAGAGAATAGAAATATTCACTCAGGGTTTCTTTCAACAAGCACCCAAAGGTTACTCCTCTGGTAGGCTGACGCTGGGGGAGAGGTGGGGACAGATAGGAGGGAGAATAGGCAGGCGTGGGGACTCACATGCTGACCAGGAGGGCAGTGGGGCCACCCAGAGACATGGGGAACCCCCAGGAGAGAAGCAGGCTTTGGTGGAACTTGCTGAGCCTGGCCCGTCCTGGAGATACCCAGCAGCGGACTGGCCCCAGGGGGCTGGAGGGAGACAGGGGAGGGCCCAAATCCCCCGGAGTGTGGGCACTGGGTCTGGGAAGCCAGAGAAAGAGAAACCTTCAGGCCGGGTGTGGTGGCTCACGCCTGTAATCCCAGCACTTTGGGAGGTCGAGGCGGGTGGACCGCTTGAGGTCACGAATTCGAGACCAGCCTGACCAATATGGTGAAACCCCGTCTCTACTAAAAATACAAAAATTAGCTGGGCGTGGTGGCATGCGCGCCTGTATTCTCAGCTACTTGGGAAGCTGAGCCATGAGAATCGCTTGAACCCGGGAGGCGGAAGTAGTGAGCCACCTGGATCACACCACTCCAGCAGCCTGGGCAGCAGAGTGAGACGCTGTCTCAACAGCAACAACAAAAAAAAACAAAAACAGGAGGAAACCTTCAAAGAGATGGTGCTGTGGAGGAGGTGGCGGGAAACCGGGGCCACCTTTTTTCATGTATGGGGTGAGACTTGGAGGCTGGGAGGGACCCTTGGACCATGATAAGGACCTGCTGCCGCTCCCTGGACACTGCTGCGTCTGACACCTTCTGGGAGATGCTAGAGGGACTCGGGGATCTGGAGACAGGCCTTTCTTCTAAAAGAGGATGCACTGGATCCCGTCTGGATGCCCGTGACACTGCAAAAAGCCAGAGACATAAGGGGACTGTGTCCGTGAACCTCAACAGAGCCTGGCCACTGAGCCTCAGCTTTGAAGGTCTGAAGGTCTGGCCAATCTCACTCCATTCCTAGGTCCTTCCCGCCCCCATAGGGTGTCACAGAGTCCTCCAGACCCCAGATCCTGACCTCGGGAACAGAAATCCAAGACCCCAGCCCTGCCCCTCTCTGTTCCTTGCAGCCCTACAGCTGTCCATTCTACAGATGAGGAAACTAAGGCTCAGAGAGACACCTATGTGTCCTGCTGAGTACACACAACTAGAGCCATTTTGATCCAGACCCCAAAGTCTCCCCACCTTAATGTCACCCCAAACTCCTCTAGGACTTTGCAGATGGAGCTGACATCTCCCGAATAACCTTGTCCCACAGAACTTTCTGTGATGATGGGCCGGGCTTGGTGGCTCATGCTTGTAATCCCAGTACTTTGGGAGGCTGAGGTGGGCGGATTACCTGAGGTCAGGAGTTCAAGACCAGCCTGGCCAACATGTCTCTACTAAAAATACAAAAATTAGTCAGGTATGGTGGCAGGAGCCTGTAATGCCAGCTACTCGGGAGGCTGAGACAAGAGAATTGCTTGAACCTGGGAGACAGAGGTTGCAGTGAGCCGAGATTGCACCATTGCCCTCCAGCCTGGGTGATGAGAGTGAAACTCCGTCTCAACAAAAACAAAGCAACTTTCTGTGATGACGGAAATGTTCTCTACATGCAGCATCAAAATTGGTGGCCAATGAGCCCTTCAAAAGTGACCATGCTGTCGGAAAAACAGAATAGTTAATGCTAATTTTTTTTTTCATACGGAGTCTTGCTCTGTCGCCCAGACTGGAGTGCAGTGGTGTGATCTTGGCTCACTGCAACTTCTACATCCTGAGATCAAGTGATTGTCGTGCCTCAGCCTCTCGAGTAGCTGGGACTACAAGTGTGCACCATCATGCCTGGCTAGTTTTTGTATTTTTAGTAGAGACGGAGTTTCACTATGTTGGCCAGGCTGGTCTTGAACTCCTAACCTCAGGTGATCCACCTGCCTCGCCTCAGCCTCCCAAAGTGCTGAGATTACATCTGTGAGCCACTGTGCCCGGCCTGGCTAATGTTAATTTTCTTTTCTTTTCTTTTCTTTTCTTTTCTTTTTTGAGACGGAGTTTCACTTTTGTTGCCCAGGCTGGAGTGCAATGGCACGATCTCAGCTCACTGCAACCTCCGCCTCCCGGGTTCAAGCGATTCTCTTGCCTCAGCCTCCTGAGTAGCTGGGATTAGAGGCACGTGCCATCATGCCTGGCTAATTTTTGTATTTTTAGTAGAGATGGGGTTTCACCATGTTGTCCAGGCTGGTCTTGAACTCCTGACCTCAGGTGATCTGCCTGCCTCGGCCTCCCAAAGTGCTAGGATTACAGGCGTGCACCACGGCGCCCGGCCCAATGCTAATTTAAACTTAAAAATAGATACTGGCCGGGAGTAATGGCTTACACCTATAATCCCAATGCTTTGGGCGGCTGAGGTGGGAGGATCGCTTGATTCCAAGAGTTTGAGACCAGCCTGAGCAGCATAGCAAGACCTCAAGACCTCATCTCTACAACGAATTTTATTATTTATTATTATTATTTTGCCAGACATGGTGGCCTGTAGTCTCAGCTACTCAGGATGCTGAGGCAGGAGGATTTCTGGAGCCCAGAAGTTCAAGGCTGCTGTAAGCCATGGTTGCACTATTGCACTTCTGCTTAGACAATAGAATGAGACCGTGTCTCAAAATAAATAAATAAATAAATAACAACAAAAAATAAAAACACAGAAAACAAAAACCACAAAAAAGCACACAAGAAACAGATACTCAAAAAGAAAAAAAGCAATGACTGATATTACAGGCAGTAATTGGGAAACTTTTGAGTACCTTCAGAACATCTTGGATGGGCAAATCTACTTCTTCACCTGTACTTTTTATGTTTGTTTGTTTGTTCTGAGATGGAATCTTGCTCTGTCACCCAGGCTGGAGCACAGTGGCGTGATCTTGGCTCACTGCAACCTCTAGCTCCCGGGCTAAAGTGATTTTCCTGCCTCAGCCTCCCAAGTAGCTGGGATTACAGGCGCCCCCCACCACACCCAGGTAATTTCTGTCTTTTTAGTAGAGATGGAGTTTCACCATGTTGGCCAGGCTGGTCTCGAACTCCTGACCTCAACTGACCCGCCCACCTCAGCCTCCCAAAGTGCTGGGGTTACAGGCATGAGTCACCACGCCCAGCCTCATTTTATGGAAACTAAATACAGATTGAGTAGTTATGACAGACATTGAATGTCTGAATTGTCTTCTGAGGGTAAAATGCACACTAGATTGCCAAGATTTAGGATGAAAAACAGAATGTCAGATATCTCAATAAAACTTTTTAAAGGCCAGGCACGGTGGCTTATGCCTGTAGTCCCAGCACTTTGAGAGGTGGAGGCGGGCGAATCACCTGAGGTCAGGAGTTAGAGACTGTCCTGACCAACATGGTGAAACCCCGTCTCTACTAAAAATACAAAAAATTAGCCAGGCGCGGTGGCGGGCACCTGTAGTCCCAGCTACTCGGGAGGCTGAGGCAGGAAAATGGTGTGAACCCGGGAGGCGGAGCTTGCAGTGAGCCAAGGTCGCGCCACTGCACTCCAGCCTGGGCAACAGAGCGAGACTCTGTCTCAAAAAAATAAAATAAAATAAAATAAAATAAATAAACTGAGTTGGTCTAAACCTTATGGTGCATAGCGGAGCTCCAGGCATGGTGACCTAGGTGTGATGAGAAGGGATTGAGAGCACAAGCGCATACCAAAGTTCTGGAAAAAGACTCAAGAGACAGCCCTCGAGGGACACTCAGAGCCCGGACTGGGAGGGAGGTTGAATTTTAACCAAGTATTCCTTTGTGCTGTCGGGCTCTTGGGCTGCCAGTGAAAGGTTAATGTTTAGAGATACATTTAATATTAATATATTATCATGTGGCCCCTGGGTTTATGGCGACCTCTTCCTAGGAGACAGTGAAGTCTTTGCCGGTGACCTTCAGGAGGGGAGATTGGGGGAAACGGGGAACGGGAGTCCAGGAGAGAGATCTCACCCAAGGTACTTTCCCTGGAAAATGATCGATCCACGCCACAAAGATCAGGATGCAAAAAAACAAAGCCAGAAAGCAAACCGCATTCTAAGCCCTCTTTTACCACCGGGAGTGGCAGAGGCAGAGAAAATCCGGGGCCAGGAAGGATGAAGGGGTGTAGGCTGCTGATGGGGTCGGGGGGCACGGGATTCTACCGCAGAGCTCTGCAAGAGAGACAGACAGACACCCACTTCCTCCTGGTTTGGCAAATCAGCCAGACCTCCCATATCCTCAGCCCACCTCGGTGCATCCAGAAAGACCCCTGCCTGCGACTAGGGGCTGCTGGCCAAATGCCAGGCCACTGCACAGCCTGCAGACCCTCCCCCAGGGATCTTGTGCCAGCCCACCCGCACTCTGAATTACAGCAGACAGGACTGAGGCTGAGGGGAGGAGGCTCGGAGCCAGGAGGCCTTTCCCTGGACCCATGCGATCCGGGTTGGGGGTGAAAGTGGGACAAGAGGCCTTACCTGGGGGGGCCAGTGTGCAGAGGGCCCTAGAGCTGAGAGGCCGCGGACGGAGTAACAGCTGGATTCTGAGGACGTGGAAGAGGCCACACCACGCAGCAGAAGGAAGGAGGAAGTGTACCCGGAGCTGAAACCAGGCCCTTTCCAACCACCACACCTGTCATCAGGTGACCCAGGGCATCCTGTCCTGGAGCCCGGACATCCTTTGAAAACAAATCGTGGGGCTCCCCTAATCCCCGTTGCAGAACCAAACAGGGTGAAGGGATTTGGAGACTCAGGTCATGCATGACCTTGCCCCACCTGTGGCTTCAATGCGATGTGGCTTTGAGTACAAAGTGAAAAGGCTGACCTGAACCACCGGTTCCCAAAGCGGGTTCCACAGGGACACCAGGGGTTCCTTGGGAGGTGGGAATGAGGAAGTGAGCAGAATTTCTACCTTTCCGCTTTCCTTCCCACCAGATCCCACCTTCTCACTCAGTTGGCCCATCACCAAATATTTCCTGAGCACTAAGTGCCAGGCCAAGGGATCTTGCAGGAAACCGGTGGGCAAGTCAGGCAACTCATGAACCTTGGAAGGGAACTTTCTTCAATTAAAATTGCAGCCTTTTGAATAAAAAAGGGATGGAAGGGCATTCCAGTTACAAGGAACAACCTTCGCAAAGGCCCTGAGGCAGCAGAAATGCAGGCATGTTGAGGAACTGCAGGAGGAGTCTCAGCAGGCTGGGTCTTCACCACTGGAGAGGAGGCAGAGCTGTTGCAGAGGCTGGGCCACGGTCAGCCATAGGGTGTTCAGCACCAAGGCAATAGGGAGCCATGTGAGGCTTCAAGCAGAGGGGTTACCATGTCGATACATGTTTTCAGATGCTCTCTTCTGGTAGGCTGGGCACAGGTCCCATATTGGTGGCAGAAGCTTCCTCCGGTGGCCTCACCAAGCCCCTCTGTGTGCCTCAAAGCCACTTCCTTTCCCCACCCACTCCTGCAGGGCAGTGCAAAGCAGAAGTCCAGGGAGCTATGCAAACTTCCTGGAATGGAGAGAAATGATCTGGAATACTGGTTTTGAGGGAGGATGACCTTAAACTCTCTCACTCCCAAGCTGGGTGCAAAGGTGACCGAGCTCAAAGCCCAGCCTCCAAGTATCACGACTGCCCTGTTCTAGAAATCATTTCTGGGAGGCTGCATCATGCTGCCTGAGTTCTACTATCTCAGTGCCCAGCCACGCCCAGACCAGTGAGGTTCTGGGAGGTAGGGATGGGCCAGGGGGTTGGGGTCTCCCAGAGCTCCAGAAGTGGCAACCTAATTCCACTCATGTCTCATTCCTTGACTGGTGAGGTTGACTGTAACTTATTAAAAAAATGACTTCTGGGGGCCGGGCGTGGTGGCTCACGCCTGTAATCCCAACACTTTGGGAGGCCGAGGTGGGCAGATCACGAGATCAGAAGATCAAGACCATCCATCCTGACTAACATGGTGAAACCCTGTCTCTACTAAAAATACAAAAAAATTAGCCAGGCGTGGTAGTGGGTGCCTGTAGTCCCAGCTACTTGGGAGGCTGAGGCAGGAGAATGGTGTGAACCCGGGAGGCGGAGCTTGCAGTGAGCCTAGATTGAGCCACTGCACTCCAGCCTGGGCGACAGTGCAAGACTCTGTCTCAAAAAAAAAAAAAAAAAAAAAAGACTTCTGAGGCCATGCACAGTGACTCACACCTGTAATCCCAACAGTTTGGGAAGGAGAGGCAGGAAGATCGCTTGAGCCCAGGAGTCTGAGACCAGCCTAGGGAAAACAGAGATACCCCTATCTCTCTCTTTTTTTTGAGATGGAATCTTGCTCTGTCACTCGGGCTGGAGTGCAGTGGCACAGTCTCAGTTTACTGTAACCTATGCCTCCCGGGCTCAAGCGATTCTCATGCCCCAGCCTCCCGAGTAGCTGGGACTACAGGCGCGTGACACGGCACTGGGTAACTTTCGTATTTTTTTAGTAGAGCTGGTTTTCGCCATGTTAGCCAGGCTGATCTTGACCTCCTGACTTCAGGTGATCTGTCTGCCTCAGCCTCCTAAAGTACTGGGATTAGAGGCCAGGCATGAGCCACTCCGCCCAGCTGGGTTCTTTTTTTTTCTTTTTTTTTTTTGAGACAGAGTCTCGCTCTGTGGCCCAGGCTGGAGTGCAGTGGCACGATCTCGGCTCATGGCAAGCTCTGCCTCCTGGGTTCACGCCATTCTCCTGCCCCAAGTAGCTGGGACTACAGGCGTCCGCCATCACGCCCAGCTAATTTTTTTTTTTTTTTTTGTATTTTTAGTAGAGACATGTTAGCCAGGATGGTCTCGATCTCCTGACCTTGTGATCCGCCCGCCTCGGCCTCCCAAAGTGCTGGGATTACAGGCGTGAGCCACCACGCCCCGCCCCCAGCTGGGTTGTTTCTTAAGGATTCAAAATCCAAAGGTAGGTCTCTAGTGAGGGACAGTAGGGCTCTAGTCATTCCATCGATGTGATCGCTGGGCAAAGGGAGGGTGGAGGACCTTGGGCTGACCTCAGGGATGGTGCCAGAGAGAACGTGTGCTCATCCTGAAACTGCTGTGTGACTTGAGAGGTTTCCTGGTCCTCTCTGAGCAGGGCTCACCATACCAGTGCCAGGTGGGACCTCCCTGCCAAGGAGCTGAGCCCAGAGCCCAGAGTAGGGTATCATGAGGACCTCTTCCCTCAGGCTCAGGGCAAGCTAGGACCTGCTTGAGGCTTGCAGGGGCAGTTAGGCCATCTGTGCACCTCGTTGGGGTCTTGGCCCTCACTGGACCCTCCAGTGCCTTCCCTGGCCAGGGCTGGGTGGGAGATGGAGCTGCCAGCCTGCTGGAAATTTTTCTCCCCCTGGGGCCCAGGGCTGGGAGCCAAGGGCAGCTGGTGCCCAGGAGGAGGGAGAAGGCCCCACGGGCTGGGCGTGCCATGAACCACATGTGAGATCCGGGGCATACAGGGAGGCAATGGGGGTTTGAGGGCAGTGCTGGGGTTCCAGAGGGGGCAGGCCAGAGCCCCCCAACATCGGCCAGGTGGCTGGGCCTCTGCCCTCGTGGGACCCAGGGAGGGTTTCCATGTCCCTCTAAGCCTCAGAGGAAATTCCAGAGGCAGAGAAAGAGAAGTTGGGAAAGGGAGCTCTTCACTCTGACATCAGCTGAGGTAGAGGCGGAGACCACAGGGGCTCCAGGGGCGTCAGAGGACAGAGCAGCCTGTCCCCACACCTCTTACCCCCTGGGGACTGGGCCTGCCCCAGCCTGTTAGGAAGCCCTGGCCTGGCCTGCCGAGGGCCCCGTCCCCCTCCCAGGACCCGTGGCTTGCAGCCAGGTGGTGGGGAGAGGGGCCCAGGTGTGTGGTGTGGGTGGCAGGTGAGTGATGGGCCCAGCAAGGCTGGCTCAGGCCCGGGGTCACCAGAGGGTTTGGTAGAGACTCTTCAGGCCCCCCACACCCTCCCCACCCTATGCCCCTCCACCCTCCCACCTGGGCATCAGGGAGGCATCACAGGCACCTCTGCACCTCCACTGTACAGATGGGGAATCTGAGGCTCAGAGAGCACCTGGGATTCACCACCACCACCCACGTCTTGGTCTCCCCTGGCAATTTTATTTTACTTTATTTTATTTTATATATATATATTTTTTTTGAGACGGAGTCTTGCTCTGTCACCCAGGCTAGAATGCAGTGGTGCAATCTTGGCTCACTGCAACCTCCACCTCCTGGGTTCAAGTGATTCTCGTACCTCAGCCTCCCAAGTAGCTGGGATTACAGGCGCATGTCACCACGCCAGGCTAATTTTTGTATTTTTAGTAGAGACGGGGTTTCACCATGTTGGCCAGGCTGGTCTCCAACTCCTGACCTCAGGTGATCTGCCCGCCTCCACCTCCTAAAGTGCTGAGATTACAGGCGTGACCCATTGCACCTGGCCTATTATTATTGTTATTTTTGAGATGGAGTCTCACTGTGTCGCCCAAACCGGAGTGCAGTGGCGCCATCTCAGCTCACTGCAAGCTCCACCTCCTGGGTTCACGCCATCCTCCTGCCTCAGCCTCTGGAGCAGCTGGGACCACAGGCACCCGCCATGACACCTGGCTAATTTTTTGTATTTTTAGTAGAGACGGGGTTTCACCGTGTTAGCCAGGATGGTCTCGATCTCCTGACCTCGTGATCCACCCTCCTCGGCCTCCCAAAGTGCTGAGATTACAGGCGTGAGCCACCGTGCCTGGCCGGCCTATTATTTTTTATTTAGAGACGTGGTCTTGCTATATTGACCAGGCTGGTCTTTAACTCTTGGCCTCAATCAATCCTCCTACCTCAGCCTCCCAAAGTGCTGGGATTACAGGCGTGAGCCACAGCGCCTGTCCACCCTTGGCATTTTGTAGACAGCAGCAATTTCCCTCAACCCCAGAATATTTGGAATGTTCCAGAAGTCCTCATTTACAGTCGATCCCACCTGTACCCTATAAGTGGTGGTCCTGGGCTTGAACTTGGACCTGTCTGAACTCTGAGCTCTTAACCCCTGAGGTGAGAACCTGGGGTGAGCTCTTAACCCATGGGACCAACCCCTCTAGAGTGAGGAGACACGTCATCATTTTTCCTTGCAGTATTACATCTGGAAACCGTGCCGTGATGATCTCTCTGCACCCCTCACAGGCGGCTAACAACATCACAAACAAATCAGCCAGAACCATCACTCCCGGGTGGGGCCCCAAGTAAGCCAGTTCCCCAGGGCCCAGGGCCCTCCAGGGTGAGGTCCCCAGCAGGTGAGATTCAGTGTGGCAAGGTCTCTGGGAGCAGGTCCCAGCAGGTAAAGTCCCCGACCGCCGACATCCTCAGTAGGTGCAGCCTCCAGCAGCCAAGGTCCCCAGCAGGTGAGGTCCCCAGCAGGTGAGGTCCCCAACAGGCGAGGTCCCCAGCAGGCGAGGTCCCTAGCAGGCAAGTCTTCTGGAGGGGAGAGGCTCCTGGCAGCCGTGAAGCCCAGCGTGTGAGGTCCCAGGTAAGAGAGAGGGTTGGCCACAAAGGACTCCAGCAGGTGAGGCCCCAGGCAGATGAGGTTCCCGGCAGCCCAGGCACCATGCCGGCCTCTCAGGTGAACCAAGCCGCTATGCTGCGCACCGTCTGGTACCTGGATTCCTGCTGCAGTTTCCAGCAGGCCTTGCAGAAATCCAGTGCCCAGCTGAAGGAGCGAGGCCGCAGCGTCTCCCGCCAGCGAAAGTAGCTCAGGTAGCGGGCGTGGTCCTTGTCCAGCTCCTGCAGGTACCGGGCCAGGTCCTTGGGGCTCTGGAAGTCGTCCACGTGGATGAAGGCGTCGGGTGGCAGGAACCTCTCGTAGTTGCTTCTGCTGGGGCCCAGCACCACGGGCACGGCCCAGGCCTCCAGGGCGTTCCTCCACAGCTTCTCGGTGATGTAGTCGGGGTGCAAGGAGTTCTCGAAGGCCAGGTAGAACTTGTACCGGGACAGCGTCTCCATCATGGTCCCCTTGGGCAGGGGCTTGTGGGAGCGTCCGTACACGTCCACCTTGAGATGAGCCTGCAGGCTCTGGTAGTAGCGCACCCTGGCTGAGTCCGGCTTCCAGTTGGACACCGCCCAGGCCACCAGCTCGGTCTTGGCCGAGAGGTTGAGCGGTGGGTGGGCAGGCTGGCCGGACCACGGCTCCAGCCAGCCGTAGGGCGTGAAGATGTCGGAGTCGCTGCGGTAGGACATGGTGAGATTGAAGTATCTGTCCAGGGCTTCCAGGTGCTGGCAGTTAGGGGGTGGCTCCAAGTTGAACCAGATCCAGCGCTGCCCCTGCGGCCTCGGGGAAGGTGGGAGGCGTGACTTAGGGTTGGACATGATATCCCAGTGGTGCACGATGACCGTGTCTGCCTGTGGGTACACCTTGCGGTCGGCAGTGATGTGGCAGTCGGCTGTGCCGGGCACCATCTCTGAACAGCGGGACAGAGCCACAGGGATGTGGAAAGGCCATGTCCATAGCAGGATCAGGAGGGTGGGGCGGGTGGGAGTGGTGTCCTGTCGGGAGGACCCACTGGGAGCCCTAGGGGATCCAGTGGCATCGTCTCGGGACACACGCAGGTAGGAGAAGAAACACACAGCCACCAGCAGCTGAAATAGCAGTGCGGCCAGACAGCGGCGCCATGGCCATTGTGGCTTGGCTGCACCCAGGGGATCCATGGGTCAGAGTATCTGGGAAGAGAGGAGAGAGGAGTGAGGGTCATTGATGACAATCTCCTGCTTACCAAAGCTCCGGGCCATGAGTCCTGAGAGGAGCTGCTATTATTCCTGTTTCACAGATGAGAAAACTGAGACCAAGTGACTCACAGCAAAAATCAGCACAGCTGGTGTTTGAACAAAGGGACCTTGTCCCAGAGTCCACTTCCTTCTACCTATTAGACAAGACCTTTCCTGGAATCCCCGAAGTCTTCCCCAGTCTACTGAAATACAAGTGCCCTGGAGGCAGGGGAGAAGGCATAGCCGGTCATCATTGCTTCCCATGTCACTGAGGCAAGGCTTGAATCCATGACTCAGCCAGAGAAAGGTACAATGGGACTGGGTTTTGCAGGTAATATATGAGCTGACCGGCCGAGCAGAGTGGCTCACACCTGTAGTCCCAGCACTTTGGGAGGCCGAGGTGAGCAGATCACCTGAGGTCAGGAATTTAAGACCAGCCTGGCCAACATGATGAAACCCCATTTCTACTAAAAATACAAAAATTAGCTGGGTGTGGTGGTGCACACCTGTAGTCCCAGCTACTTGGGAGGCTGAGGCACGAGAATCACTTGAACCCAGGAGGCAGAGGTTGCAGTGAGCCAAGATGACACCACTGCATTCCAGCCTGGGTGACAGAGGGAGATTGTGTCTCAAAAATAAATAAATAAATAATAGCCGGGTTTGGTGGCTCATGCCTGTAATCCCAGCACTTTGGGAGGCTGAGGCAGGTGGATCACTTGAGGTCAGGAGTTTGAGACCAGCCTGGCCAACATGGTGAAACCCTGTTTCTACCAAAAATACAAAAATAAGCCGAGTGTGGTGGCTCATGCCTGTAATCCCAGCTGCTCGGGAGGCTGAGGCATGAGAATCACTTGAACCTGGGAGGCAGAGGTTGCAGTAAGCTGAGATCATGCCACTGCACTCCAGCCTGGGTGACAGAGCAAGATTCCATCTCAAAAATAAATAAATAAATAATTTTTTTAAAAAAAGACCAGCCTGGGCAACATGGCAAAATCCCAACTCTACTAAAAATACAAAAATTTGCCGGGCAAGGTGGCATGCGCCTGTAGTCCCAGCTACTTGGGGGAATTGCTTTAGTCTGGAAGTTTGAGGCTGCAGCAAGCTGTGATCATGCCACTTAACCCCAGCCTGGGTGATGGAGCAAGACCTTGTCTTAAAAAAATAAAATAAAAGGCTGGGCTCGGTGGCTCACACCTGTAATCCCAGCACTTTGGGAGGCTGAGGTGGGCAGATCCCAAGGTCAGGAGATCGAGACCATCCTGGCTAACATGGTAAAACCCCGTCTCTACTAAAAATACAAAAAATTAGCCAAGCGTGGTGGTGGGCGCCTGTTGTCCCAGCTACTACTGGGGAGGCTGAGGCAGGAGAATGGCGTGAACCCGGGAGGCGGAGCTTGCAGTGAGCCGAGATAGTGCCACTGCATTCCAGACTGGGGGACAGAGCGAGACTCCATCTCAAAATAAATAAATAAATAAATAAATAAATAAATAAATAAACATAAGGTAATACACGAAAAACTTTTGACTTACACACCTTAAATGGATTCACTGTATGGGTTGCGAATTATATCCCGATGAAACTGTTTTCAAATGACATGGTGGTTGCCTGCTTTCTCTGTTGGACCGAACTGGTCTAAGCCTTGCAGTGTCGAGCGGAGCTCCCTGTAGGTCACCTGAGTGTGACGAAAAGGGATCCCGACGCCAAGACCTAAGTTCACACCAAGGTTCTGGAAAGAGACTCAAAACACAGGCCCTCAGGGGACAGCCTGAGCCCAGAGTGGGAGGGAAGTTGAACTTTGACCAATTACTGCTTTGCACCCTTGGGCTCTGGGGCCTCAGGCACGAGGTAAATTTTTATAATGTAACTGATATTAAGATGGAATTACGTCAGCCCTGGATATATGGCAGCCTCTCCTAGGAGACAATGAAGTCTTTGTCAGTGACCTTCAGGAGGGTAGATTGGGGGAAACAGGTGATTGGTGGGGGCGATTTTCAGGCCTCTGAGCCCAAGCTAAGCCATCATATCCCCTACGACCGGCTCATATACGTTCAAATGGCCTGAAGCAACTGAAGATCTACAAAAGAAGTGAAAATAGCCTTAGCTGATGACATTCCACCATTGTGATCTGTTTCTGCCCCACCCTAACTGATCAATATACTTTGTAATCTCCCCCACCCTTAAGAAGGTTCTTTGTAGGCCGGGCACGGTGGCCCAAGCCTGTAATCCTAGCTCTTTGGGAGGCCGAGGCGGGCAGATCACGAGGTCAGAAGATCAAGACCATCCTGGCTAACACGGTGAAACCCTGTCTCTACTAAAAATACAAAAAAAAATTAGCTGGGCGTAGTGGCGGGCGCCTGTGGTCCCAGCTACTCCGGAGGCTGAGGCAGGAGAATGGCTTGAACTCGGGAGGCGGAGCTTGCAGTGAGCCGAGAAAGAGCCACTGCACTCCAGCCTGGGCGACAGAGCCAGACTCCGTCTCAAAAAAAAAAAAAAAAAGGTTCTTTGTAATTCTCCCCACCCTTGAGAATGTACTTTGTGAGATCCACCCCTGCCCACAGAACATTGCTCCTAACTCCACCGCCTATCCCAAAACCTATAAGAACCAATGATAATCCCACTACCCTTTGATGACTCTCTTTTTGGACTCAGCCCGCCTGCACCCAGGTGAAATAAACAGCCTCGTTGCTCACACAAAGCCTGTTTGGTGGTCTCTTCACACGGACGCATGAGACATTTGGTGCCGAAGACCCGGGTCAGCGGGACTCCTTCGGGACAGCAGTCCCCTGTCCTCACCTTCACTCCCTGAAGAGATCCACCTACAACCTCAGGTCCGCAGACCAACCAGCCCAAGGAACATCTCACTGATTTTAAATTGGGTAAGTGGCCTCTTTTACTCCTTCTCCAACCTCTCTCACTATCCCTCAACCTCTTTCTCCTTTCAATCTTGGCACCATCCTTCAATCTCTCCCTTCTCTTAATTTAAATTCCTTTCATTTTCTGGTATAGACAAAGGAGACACATTTTATCCGTGGACCCAAAACTCTGGCGCCGGTCACGGACTTGGGAAGGCAGCCTTCCCTTGGTGTTTAATCATTGCGGGGACGACTGCCTGATTATTCACCCACATTCCATTTGTGTCTGATCTCCGCGGGGACACCTGCCTTGGTCATTCACCCACATCCCTTGGTGGCAAGTCAATTGCAGGGACGCCTGCTTTGGCTGCTCACCTTACCCCTTCTCTCCGTGTCTCTACCCCTTCTCTACTTTCCTGAGGGGCAAGCACCCCCCACCCCGTTTCCATTTTCCTGGGGGGCAAGCACCTCCCATCCCTTCTCCACTTTCCTGGGGGATAAGCATCCCCCACCCCTTCTCTCCGTGTCTCTACCCTTCTCTTTAAACTTGCCTACTTCACTATGGGCAACCTTCCACCCTCCATTCCTCCTTCCTCTCCCTTAGCCTGTGTTCTCAAGAACTTAAAACCTCTTCAACTCTCGCCTGACCTAAAACCTAAATGTCTTATTTTCTTCTGCAATGCCGCTTGACCCCAATACAAACCAGACAGTGGTTCCAAATAGCCAAAAAATGGCACTTTCAATTTTTCCATCCTACAAGATCTAAATAATTCTTGTCATAAAATGGGCAAATGGTCTGAGGTGCCTGACGTTCAGGCATTCTTTTATACATCGGTCCCTCCCTAGTCTCTGTTCCCAATGCAGTTCATCCCAAATCTTCCTTCTTTCCCTCCTGCCTGTCCCCTCAGTTCCAACCCCAAGCGTTGCTGAGTCTTGAATCTTCCTTTTCTACAAACCCATCTGACTTCTCCCCTCCTTCCCAGGCTGCTCCTCACCAGGCCGAGCTAGGTCCCAATTCTTCCTCAGCCTCTGCTCCTCCACCCTATAATCCTTTTATTACCTCCCCTCCTCACACCCAGTCCAGCTTACAGTTTCTTTCCGTGACTAGCCCTCCTCCATCTGCCCAACAGTTTCCTCTTAAAGAGGTGGCTGGAGCTAAAGGCACAGTCAAGGTTAATGCTCCTTTTTCTTTATCCGACCTCTCCCAGATCAGTTAGCGTTTAGGCTCTTTTTCATCAAATATAAAACCCAGCCCAGTTCATGGCCCATTTGGCAGCAATCCTGAGATGTTTTACAGCCCTAGACCCTGAAAGGTCACAATGCCGTCTTATTCTCAAAATGCATTTTATTTTATTACCCAATCTGCTCCTGACATTAAATAAAGCTCCAAAAATTAAATTCCGGCCCTCATACCCCACAACAGGACTTAATTAACCTCGCCTTCAAGGTGTACAATAATAAGAGTAGAGGCAGCCACGTAGCAATGTATTTCTGAGTTGCAATTCCTTGCCTCCACCGTGAGACAAACCCCAGCCACATCTCCAGAACACAAGAACTCCAAACGCCTGAACCGCAGCTGCCAGGGGTTCCTCCAGAACCTCCTCCCCCAGGAGCTTGCTACAAGTTTTGGAAATCTGGCCACCGGGCCAAGGAATGCCCGCAGCCCGGGATTCCTCCTAAGCCATGTCCCATCTGTGAAGGACCCCCAATGAAAATCAGACTGTTCAACTCACCTGGCAGCCACTCTTTTGTTTAGTTTCTCAGTTCATACAAAACCGCATCCAGGCCATCACCAATAATTCTATACGACAAACACTCCTTCTAACAACCCCACAATATCACCCCTTACCCCAAAATCTTCCTTCAGCTTAATCTCTCCCACTCTAGGTTCCCACACCAACCCCTAATCCCGCTCGAAGCAGCCCTGAGAAACATCGCCCATTATCTCTCCATACCACCCCAAAAAATTGTTGCCACCCCAACACTTTACCACTATTTCGTTTTATTTTTCTTATTAATATAAGAAGACAGGAATGTCAGGCCTCTGAGCCCAAGCTAAGCCATCATATCCCCAGTGACCTGCTCGTATACATCTAGATGGCCTGAAGCAACTGAAGATCCACAAAAAAAGTGAAAATAGCCTTAACTGATGACATTCCACCATTGATTTGTTTCTGCCCTACCCTAACTGATCAATGTACTTTGTAATCTCCCCCCAACCCTTAAGAAGGTTCTCTGTAATTCTCCCCACCCTTGAGAATGTACTTTATGAGATTCACCCTCTGCCTGCAAAACATTGCTCCTAACTCCACTGCCTATCCCAAAACCTATAAGAACAATGATAATCCCACCACCGTTGCTGACTCCTTTTTCGGACTCAGCCTGCCTGCACCCAGGTGAAATAAACAGCCTTGTTGCTCACACAAAGCCTGTTTGGTGGTCTCTTCACACAGACATGTGAGATCGCGATGAGGACTGAGATCCCACCCCAGTTGAACCCAAGATATTTTTTCCTAGAAAAAGATTAAAAAATGCTACTCTGCTGAGACATCACAAAGATCAGGAAGCAAAAAGCAAAAAAATAGCTGGGCGTGGTGGCTCATGCCTGTAATCCCAGTAGTTTCGGAGAGTGAGGTGGGCAGATCTCTTGAGCCCAGGAATTCAAGACCTGCCTGATTGGCCGGGTGCAATGGCTCATGGCTGTAATGCCAGTACTTGCGGAGGCTGAGGTGGGCAGGTCACCTGAGGTCAAGAGTTTGAGACCACCCTTGGCAACATGGTGAAATCTTGTCTCTACTAAAAATAAAAAATTAGCCAGGTGTGGTGGCAGGCACCTTAATCCCAGCTACTCAGGAGGCTGAGGCACAAGAATTGCTTGAACGAGGGAGGCAGAGGTTGCAATAAGCCGAGATCATGCCACTGTACCCCAGCCTGGGCGACACAGCAAGACTCTGTCTCAAAAAAAAAAAAAAAAAAAAAAAAAAAAAGTCCTGCCTGAGCAACATAGTGAGACCCCATCTCTACAAAAGAAAAAAAAATTAAAAAGTATCCAGGTGAGGTGGCACACACCTGTAGTCCCAGCTACTCCAGAGCCTGAGGCAGGAGGGTCACTCGAGCCCAGGAGTCTGAGGCTGCAGTGAGCCATGATTGCATCACTGCACTCCAGCCTGGGCAACAGACCAAGATTCTGTCTCAAAGAAAAAGAAAAAAAAAATGCATCTTAAGTCCACCCCAGGCAGGGCAGGGCCAGAGAGAATCCAAGGCCAGAAAAGATGAGTGGGGGGAGGCTGTTGATGGGGTTGGGGTGCAGAGGGGACTCCACTCCAGAGCTCTGCCAGAGAGAGAGACAAACGTCACTCTTTCCTTCCGGTTTGGCAAATCACCCAGAACCTTCCATGTCCTCCCCAACGGTGGTGCATGCCACACCCAGAAAGACCCCTGCCTGTGACTAGGGGGTGCTGGCCACATTCCAGGTCATGGACAGTTTGGTGACTCTCCACCGGGATTTTGTGCCAGCCCAGCCACATCATGAATCAGGGCCCATAGGATGGGGGCCGAGGGGAGGAGGGACGGAGCCAGGAAGCCTTTCCTGGGAGGTCTCCCAGGCATTCTGGGTGGGGGGAAAAGGTAGAATGGGATAACTTACCTGGAGAGGCAGCGAGCAGTGGATGAGGACAGCTCACCAGGAGGCCATGGCAGGTTTCCTGGGGCGGGGAGGAAGTGGGAACAGAGAAGAGGAGGAACAAGTACGTGTACATTGCAGCACACACCTGTCACCAGGTGACCTAGGGTGTTCTCCCCTGCAGCAGGGATATTGTCTGGAAGCCAGTTTCCGGGGTGTCCTAATCTCGCCTGTGAGACCGGATAAGGGTGCAGGAACTTGGAGGCCCGGGACGTGACCCGGGCTCCATCTGTAGCCTGAAGGCTGCCTGGCTTTGGGTGCACAGCTGGTCCATCCATAAAGTGAAAACGCTGGTCTAAAGCTTTGATTCTCAAAGTGGGTCCCACGGGGGCCCCATGGGTTTCTCGGGAGATGGTAAAGGGAGGGAAGTGAGCAGAATTTTAACCATCCCACCCATTCAGTCAGTCAATCAACAAACATTGCTTATGCACCTATTGCATACCAGACCCAGGGAGAGTGCAGGGAGCAAGTGGGTGAATCAGACAATACATGACTTTTGTAAGGGAACAATTCTTCAGGCCTCTGAGCCCAAGCTAAGCCACCATCTCCCCTGTGACCTGCACGTGTACATCCAGATGGCCTGAAGCAACTGAAGATCCAGAAAAAAAGTGAAAATAGCCAGTTCCTGCCTTAACTGATGACATTCCACCATTGCGATTTGTTCCTGCCTCACCCTAACTGATCAATTGACTTTGTGACAATACACCACCCCCTTGCAATAATGTACTTTGTGATATTCCCCCGCCCTTGTGAACATACTTTGTACAATATACCCTCGTCACCCTTGAGAAGGTGCTTTGTAATATCCTCCTCCCTGCCCTTAAGAAGGCACTTTGTAATATTCTCCCCCTCCAGCCCTTAAGAAGATACTTTGTAATATTCTCCTCACCCTTGAGAATGTACTTTGTAAGATCTACCACCTGCCCGCAAAAAATTGCTCCTAACTCCACTGCCTATCCCAAACCTATAAGAACTAATGATAATCCCACCACCCTTTGCTAACTCTCTTTTCGGACTCAGCCCGCCTGCACCCAGGTGATTAAAAAGCTTTATTGCTCACACGAAGCCTGTTTGGTAGACTCTCTTCACACGGGCGAGTGTGACATTTGGTGCCGAAGACCCAGGACAGGAGGACTCCTTTGGGAGACCGGTCTCCTGTCCTCGCCCTCACTCCGTGAGGAGATCCACCTGCAACCTCAGGTCCTCAGACCAACCAGCCGAAGGAACATCTCACCAATTTCAAATGGGGTAAGCAGTCTTTTCACTCTCTTCTCCAGCCTCTCTCGCTACGCTTCAATCTCCCTGTCCTTCCAATTCCAGTTATTTTTCCTCTGTAGTAGAGACAAAGGAGACACATTTTATCCGTGAACCCAAAACTCCGGCGCTGGTCACGGACTTGGAAAGACGGTCTTCCCTTGGTGTTTAATCACTGCAGGGACGCCTGCCCTGATCATTCACCCACATTCCATTGGTGTCTGATCACCGCGGGGGACGCCTGCCTTGCTCATTCACCCACATTCCCTTGGTGGCAAGTCAATTGCGGGGACACCTGCTTTGGCTGCTCACCCCCCACAGCCCCACTTCTCCGTGTCTCTACCTTTCTACGGGCAACCTTCCGCCCTCCATTCCCCCTTCTCCCTTAGCCTGTGTTCTCAAGAACTTAAAACCTGTTCAACTAACACCTGACCTAAAAACCTAACTGCCTTATTTTGCAATACTGCTAGGCCCCAATACAAACTCGACAACGGTTCCAAATTGCCAGAAAACGGCACTTTTGATTTCTCCAATTTACAAGACCTAGATGATTTTTGTTGAAACATGGGCAAATGGTCCGAGGTGCCTGACGTCCAGGCATTCTTTTTTTTTTTTTGAGACGGAGTCTCGCTCTGTCACCCAGGCTGGAGTGCAGTGGCGCGATCTCGGCTCACTGCAAGCTCCGCCTCCCGGGTTCACGCCATTTTCCTACCTTAGCCTCCTGAGTAGCTGGGACTACAGGCGCCCGCCACCATGCCCAGCTAATTTTTTTTATTTTTAGTAGAGATGGGGTTTCACCGTGTTAGCCAGGATGGTCTCGATCTCCTGACCTCGTGATCCGCCCACCTTGGCCTCCCAAAGTGCTGGGATTACAGGCGTGAGCCGCCGCGCCCGGCCGCGTCCAGGCATTCTTTTACACACTGGTCCCTCCCTAGTCTCTGCTCCCAATGCGACTCGTCCCAAATCTTTCTTCTTTCTCTCCTGTCTGTTCCTTCAGTCTGCACCCCAAGCTCTGAGTCCTTTGAATCCTCCTTTTCTACGAACCCATCTGACCTCTCCCCTCCTCCCCAGGCTGCTCCTTGCCAGGCAGAGCCAGGTCCCAATTCTTCCTCAACCTCCGCTCCCCCACCCTATAATCCTTCTATCACCTCCCCTCCTCACACCCGGTCTGGCTTACAGTTTCGTTCCGTGACACAGCCCTCCCCCACCTGCCCAACAATTTCCTCTTAGAGAGGTGGCTGGAGCTGAAGGCATAGGCAAGGTTAATGCTCCTTTTTCTTTAGCTGACCTCTCTCAAATCAGTTAGCATTTAGGCTCTTTTCCATCAAATATAAAAACCCGGCCCAGTTCATGGCCCATTTGGCAACAACCCTGAGATGCTTTACCACCCTAGACCCAGAGGGACCAGAAGACCGTCTTATTCTCAATATGCAGTTTATCACTCAATCCGCTCCTAACATTAGAAAAAACTCCAAAAATTAGATTCCAGCCCTCGAACCCCACAACAGGACTTAATTAACCTTGCCTTCAAGGTATACAATAATAAAAAAGATACAGCCAAGTGGCAACGTATTTCTGAGTTGTAATTACTTGCCTCCGCTGAGAGAGAAACGCCAGCCACATCTCCAGAACATGAGAACTTCAAAACGCCTAAACCACATCTGCCAGGCATTCCTCCAGGACCTCCTGCCCCAGGATCTTGCTTCAAGTGCCGGAAATCTGGCCACTGGGCCAAGGAATGCCCGCAGCCTGGGATTCCTCCTAAGCCGTGTCCCATCTGTGCAGGACCCCACTGGAAATCAGACCGTCCAACTAGCCTGGCAGCCACTCCCAGAGCCCCTGGAACTCTGGCCCCAGGCTCTCTGACTGACTCCTTTTCAGATCTTCTCAGCTTAGCGGCTGAAGACTGATGCTGCCTGGTCGCCTCGGAAGCCCCCTGGACCATCATGGACGCCGAGCTTCGGGTAACTCTCACAGTGGAGGGTAAGGCCATCCCCTGTTTAATTGATATGGGAGCTACCCATCCACATTACCTTTCTTTTTTTTTTGAGACAGAGTCTCTCTCTGTCACCCAGGCTGGAGTGCAACGGAGCAATCTCGGCTCACTGCAACCTCCACCTCCCGGGTTCAAGGGATTCTCCTGCCTCAGCCTCTCGAGTAGCTGGGATTACAGATGCCCGCCACCACACCCGGCTAATTTTTGTATTTTTAGTAGAGATGGGGTTTCACCTTGTTGGCCAGGCTGGTCTCGAACTCCTGACCTCAGGTGATCTGCCCGCCTCGGCCTCCCAAAGTGCTGGGATTACAGGCGTGAGATACCACACCCAGCCCACATTACCTTTCTTTCAAGGGCCTGTTTCCCTTGCCCCCATAACTGTTGTGGGTATTGACAGCCAAGATTCAAAACCCCTTAAAACTCCCCCACTCTGGTGCCAACTTGGACAACATTCATTTATGCACTCTTTCTTAGTTATCCCCACCTGCCCAGTTCTGTTATTAGGCCGAGACATTTTAACCAAATTGTCTTCTTCCCTGACCATTCCTGGACTATAGCCACATCTCATTGCCGCCCTTCTTCCCAAACCAAAGCGTCCTTCGTGTCTTCCTCTTGTATCCCTCCCACCTTCACCCACAGGGAGGGGACACCCCTACTCCCTCCCCGGCAACCAATCACACGCCCGTTACTATCCCATTAAAACCTAATCACCCTTACCCCGCTCAATGCCAGTATCCCATCCCACAACAGGCTTTAAGGGAACTAAAGCCTATTATCCCTCGCCTGCTACAGCATGGGCTTCTAAAGCCTATAAACTCTCCTTACAATTCCCCCATTTTACCTGTCCAAAAACTGGTCAAGTCTTACAGGTTAGTTCAGGATCTGCACCTTATCAACAAAATTGTTTTTCCTATCCACCCTGTGGGGACCAACCCGTACACTCTTTTGTCCTCAATACCTTCCTACACAACTCACTATTCAGTTCTTGATCTTAAAGATGCTTTTTTCACCATTCCCCTGCACCCCTCATCCCAGCCTCTTTTTGCTTTTACCTGGGCTGACCCTGACACCCATCAGTCCCAGCAGCTTACCTGGGCTGTACTGCCACAAGGCTTCAGAGACAGCCCTCATTACTTCAGCCAAGCTCTTTCTCATGATTTACTTTCTTTCCACCCCTTTGCTTCTCACCTTATTCAATATTTTGATGACCTTCTACTTTATAGCCCCTCCTGCAAATCTTCCCAACAGGACACCCTCCTGCTCCTCCAACATCTATTCTTAAAGGGATATTGCGTATCCCCCTCCAAAGCCCTGATTTCTTCCTCATCCGTTACCTACCTCAGCATAATTCTTCATGAAAACACACGTGTTCTCCCTGCCGATCATCTCCGGCTGATCTCTCAAACCCCAACCCCTCCTACAAAGCAAAAACTCTTTCCTTCCTGGGCATGGTTGGGTACTTTTGCCTTTGGATACCTGGTTTTGCCATCCTAACAAAACCATTATATAAACTCACAAAGGGAAATCTAGCTGATCCCATAGATCCTAAATCCTTTCCCCACTCCTCTTTCCGTTCCTTGAAAACAGCTATAGAGACTGCTCCCACACTAGCTCTCCCTGACTTAGCCCAACCCTTTTTCCTTACACACAGCCGAAGTGCTGGGCTGTGTGGTCAGAATTCTTATACAAGAGCCAAGACTGTGCCCTGCAGCCTTTCTATCCAAACGACCTGACCTTACTGTTTTAGGCTGGCCCTCATGTCTACATGTGGCAGCAGCCACCACTTTAATACTTCTGGAAGCCCTCAAAATCACAGGCCAGGCTCCACTTGCCCTCTACAGTTCTCACAACCTTCAAGCGTTAATATCCTCCTCACACCTTTCACACCTACTGTCTGCCCCTCGACTCCTCCAGCTCTGTTCACTGTTTACTGAAACCCCAACAGTAACTATTGCCTATGGGCCCGATTTCAACCCAGCTTCTCACTTAACACCCAACACAAGTCCTGAACCACATGACTGTGTTTCCCTAATACACATAGCATCTTCCCCCTTTCCTCAGATTTCTATTCTTCCAATTCCAAACCCAGGCCACACTTGGTTTATCGATGGCAGTGCTTCTAAACCCAATCAATTTTCACCAGCTAAAGCTGGATATGATGTCTTGTCCCACACCTTTATTATCGAAGCTGCTGCACTTCCTCCCTCCACCACTTCCCAACAAGCCAAACTAATTGCTTTAACTCGTGCGCTCTCTCTTGCTAACAGAATGCACATTAACATTTACACTGACTCCAATATGCTTTCCACATCCTCCATAACCATGCTGCCCTCTGGGCTGAAAGAGGCTTCCTTACCACACAAGGCTCTTCCATGATCAATGTCTCCCTAATAAAGGCCCTCCTTAAGGTTGCTCTCCCGCCGGCCATGGCTGCAGTCATTCATTGTAAAGGACACCAGAAACCTACTGATCTTATTGCAAAAGGAAATGCCTATGTCGACAGGACAGCAAAAGAAATAGCCAATGCCTCCACACCTGCCAATATTCCAGCCCCCGCTCCAGAGGGCCAGTATTTTTCCACAAAAGAAGTGAAAATAGCCAGTTCCTGCCTTAACTGATGACATCCCACCATTGTGATTGGTTCCTGCCTCACCCTAATTGATCAATTGACTTTGTGACAATACACCCTCCCTGCCCTTAAGAAGGTACTTTGTAATATCCTCCCCCTGCCCTTAAGAAGGTACTTTGTAATATTCTCCCCGCCCATGAGAATGTACTTCGTAAGATCCAACCCCTGCCCGCAAAAAATTCCTCCTAACTCCACCGCCTATCCCAACCCTATAAGAACTAATGATAATCCCACCACCCTTTGCTAACTCTCTTTTCGGACTCAGCCCGCCTGCACCCAGGTGATTAAAAAGCTTTATTGCTCACACACAGCCTGTTTGGTGACTTTCTTCGCACCGACGTGCGTGACACAATGTTTGCAGAATATGAAGGTGGCTGTCACGTGGTCTGGGCTTCCTGGAGGTTTGAGCTGGGAGCTGAAGCCCCGTAGGAGTTCTGTAAGTCAAAAGGGAAGAGAAGAGCATTCCACGTAGAGAAAAGAATCTGTGCTCCAGGCGCGGTGGCTCACGATTGTAATCTCAGCACTTGGTGTCAGGCCTCTGAGCCCAGGCTAAGCCATTGTATATCCCCCGTGACCTGCATGTATACATCCAGATGGCCTGAAGCAGCTGAAGAACCACAAGAGAAGTGAAAATAGCCAGTTCCTGCCTTAACTGATGTCATTCCACCATTGTGATTTGTTCCTGTCCCACCTTTACTGATCAATTAACTTTGTGACATTTCTTCTCCTGGACAATGAGTCTCATGATCTCCCTACCCAGCACCTTGTGACCCCTGCCCCTGCCCGCAAGAGATAACCATCTTTAACTGTAACTTTCCACTACCTACCTAAATCCTGTAAAAACTGACCCACCCCCTATCTCCCTTTGCTGACTCCTTTTTCGGACTCAGCCCGCCTGCACCCAGGTGATTAAAAAGCTTTATTGTTCACATGAAGCCTGTTTGGTGGTCTCTTCACACAGACACGCATGACATTTTGGGAGGCTGAGGCGGGTGGATCACCTGTAGTCAGGAGTTTGAGACCAGCCTGGCCAACATGGTGAAACCCTGTCTCTACTAAAAATACAAAAATTAGCCGGGCGCAGTGGTGGGCACCTGTAATCCCAGCTACTCAGTAGGCTGAGGCAAGAGAATCGCTTGAATCCAGGAGGAGGAGATTGCAGTGAGCCGAGATCATGCCACTGCCATCCAGCCTGGGTGACAGAGACGCTGTCTCAAAAAAAAAGAATCTGTGCAAAGCAGAGGTCCAGGCGCATTAGAGGAGCTGAAGGAAACTCTAGGCTGGGTCTTCACAAGCGGAAGATGAGACAGTGCTGCTTCTGGGGCTGAGCCACATCCAGCCATGGTCAATGGTGGCATGTTTAGCACCAGGGTGATAGGAAGCCGTGCAAAGCTTCAAGCAGTGGGGTTGCTTTTTTTTTTTTTTTGACACAGAATCTCACTCTGTCGCCCAGGCTGGAACTGCAATGGCATGACCACGACTCGCTGCAGCCTCCACCTCCCAGGCTCAAGCGATCCTCCTGCCTCAGGCTCCCGAGTAGCTAGGGCTACAGCCATGTGCCACTATGCCTGGCTAATATGGTTTATTTTTTGTAGAGACGAGGTCTCGCTATGTTGCCCAGGCTGGTTTCAAACTCCTGAGCTCAAGCAATCTGCCCGCCTCAGCCTCCCAAAGCACTGGGATTACAGGCGTGAGCCACTGCGCTCGGCCATTTTTCTTTTTTTTTTTTTTTTTTGAGACAAGGTCTCACTCTCATCCAGGCTACAGTTCAGTGTGGCGATCATAGCTCACTGCAGCCTCTAACTCCTGGGCTCAAATGATCCTCCTGCCTTAGCCTCCCTGGTTGCTAGCAGTACAGGCGTGCACCACCACGTTAATTTTTAATTTTTTTTTTTTGAGATGGAGTCTTGCTCTGTCTTCCAGGCTAGAGTACAGTGGTGCAATATTGGCTCCTCCGCCTCCTGGGTTCAAGCGATTCTCCTGCCTCAGCCTCTTGAGTAGCTGGGACTACAGGCACATGCAACCACGCCTGGCTAATTTTTGTATTTTTAGTAGAGATGGGGTTTCACCATGTTGGCCAGGCTGGTCTCGAACTCCTGGCTTCAAGTGATCCTCCCACCTCAATCTCCCAAATCCCTGGGATTACAAGCGTGAGCCACCGCACCCAGCCAGGTTACCATATTAATATGTGGTTTGAGATGCTTTATCAGGACATGCTGGGCACAGGCCATCGGGACAGAGCAGAGGAGAGCGGGGAGGAAGAGGAGGCTGTTTTCAGGTGTCCTGGCAAGCGGTGAGGGTCCTCTGCCCCAGAGCGGTGGCCTCACCAAGGCCCTCTGTGTGCCTCGAAAGCACTCCTTTGGCCGGGCACGGTGGCTCACGCCTGTAATCCCAGCACTTTGAGAGGCCGAGGCGGGTGGATCATGAGGTCAAGAGTTCGAGACCAGCCTGGCCAACATGGTGAAACCCCATCCCCACCAAAAAAAAAAAAAAAAAAAAATACAAAAATTAGCCAGGTGCGGTAGCAGGAACCTGTAATTCCAGCTACTTGGGAGGCTAAGACAGGAGAATCACTTGAGACCGGGAGGCGGGGGTTGTAGTGAGCCAAGATTGCACCACTGCACTCTAGCCTGGGAGACAGAGCAAGACTCCGTCTCACAAAAACAAAACAAAACAAAAAACAAAAGCCCTCCCTTTCCCCACCCTCTCCTGTAAATCACAGGAGAAGTCCAGGGAGCCAGATAAGCTTCCTGGAATGGAGAAGAGAAATGATCTGGAAGGCTGTCCTTGAGACAGGATGGCCTTCAACTCTGTCAGTCCCAAACTGGGTGCAGGGGCGACCGAATCTAAGGTCCAGCCTCCATGTATGATGTCTTCCCTGTTCTAGAAATCATTTCCAGGAGGCTGCTTCACGCTGCCTGGGGTTCCACCATCTCAGTGCCCAGCCAGGCCCAAGACAGTGGGGAAGATTGAGGGGACAGGGCTGGGCCAGGGACTGGAGTCTCCCAGGCAGGCCATTTCCAGAAGGGGTGACCTAAGTCTGCTCTCTGCTCATGTCCTCGCTGGGGGCATTCTCTGTGACTGATTAAAACAACTTGTGGGGTTATCAGTCTTGGTATCACTTTGTCCTGGTGTTAGAGGAAAGGGGTTCCAATCAGACCCCAAGAGAGGGTTCTGGGATCTCACGTAAGAAACAATTCAGGGCTAGTCCCTAGAGTAAAGTGAAAGCAAGTTTATTAGGAAAGTAAAGGAATAAAAGAATGGCTACTCCATAGAGTAGCCCTGAGGGCCGCTGGTTGCCCGTTTATGGTTATTTCTTTTTTTCTTTTTTTGAGACGGAGTCTCACTCTATCGCCCAGGCTGGCTGGAGTGCAGTGGTAGGATCTCAGCTCACTGCAACCTCCACCTCCTGGGTTGAAGCGATTCTCGTGCCTCAGACTCCTGAGTAGCTGGGACTACAGGCGTGCGCCACCTCGCCCAGCTAATTTTTGTATTTTTAGTAGAGATGGGGTTTCACCATGTTGGCCAGGCTGGTCTCGAACTCCTGACCTCAGGTAATCCACCCACCTTGGCTTCCCAAAGTGCTGGAATTACAGGAGTGAGCAACCACACCTGGCCTGAACCACCGTGCCCAGCTGGTTATTTCTTGATGATATGCTAAACAACGGGGAGATTACTCATGCCTCCCCTTTTTAGACCACATAGGGTAACTTCCTGATGTTGCCATGGCATCTGTAAACTGTCCTGGTGCTGCTGGGAGTGTGGCAGTGAGGATGCCCTGAGGTCACTCTCATCACCATCTTGGTTTGGGTAGGCTTTGAGGATGCCCTGAGGTCACTCTCATCACCATCTTGGTTTGGGTGGGCTTTGAGGATGCCCTGAGGTCACTCTCATCGCCATCTTGGTTTGGGTGGGCTTTGAGGATGCCCTGAGGTCACTCTCATCGCCATCTTGGTTTGGGTGGGCTTTCACCGGCTTCTCGACTGCAACCTGTTTTACCACCAAGGGCTTTATGACCTGTATCTTGCGCCGACCTCCTGTCTCATCCTGTGACTTAGAATGACTTAACCACCTGGGAATTCAGCCCAGTGGGTCTCAGCCTCATTTTACCCAGCTCCTATTCAAGATGGAGTTGCTCTGGTTCACATGCCTCCGAGAGTGGAGCCCCAGCCAAGCCCGGATGGGCAAGGCTTCCGCCCCACACAGCTGTCCTGTGGATGTGAAGACAGGTCCTGAGAGAGGGTGATCATTGCTGAGTCACTTGGAGTTTCCAAGGTAGCAGGCTGTCTCCAGCTGGACAACTGCGCTCTCTGCCCCCTGCCTCCTGCCTAGTTCCCGTTCTTCAGGGCTTAGGTGCAGACAGCTCCCCTAGGAAGCCTCCACAGATAGCGGCCCTCTTCCAGCCAGATCAATTCCTTCCACTGGCTCCTGCAACTGCCTCTGTCTCCCCTGTCCTAGCTCAGGCCACACTGTGTCCCTTCTTTCCCCTGCTGGGCTGGCAGCCTCGTGAGGACAGAAAACCTAGAAGAGCAAGAGATGAGGGAAGCTGGAGTGAGAAACCCGAGGGTAGGTCTCTAGCGGAGGGCCACAGGACTCTGCCCATTCCACAGTTGTGATCACCAGGCAATGGGAGGCTGGGCTGGCTGAGGCAATGGTGCTCCTCCTGCCTCAGGCAATGGCAATGGGGGCCAAGTCCACACTCCAGGCTGAGCTCCAATCACACCTGAGGCCAGACTCTGCCTAAGCCCCAACAGCAAGAAAGTAGAGGTTGGTAAATGCTTTCTTGGGTCATTTTTTTTTTTTTTTTTTTGAGACAGTTTTGCTCTGTCGCCCAGGCTGGAGTGCAGTGGCACGATCTTGGCTCACTGCAAGCTCCGTCTCCCGGGATCACGCCATTCTCCTGCCTCAGCCTCCCAAGTAGCTGGGACTACAGGCGCCCGCCACCACACCTGGCTAATTTTTTGTATTTTTTTGTAATAGAGACGGGGTTTCACCGTGTTAGCCAGGATGGTCTCCATCTCCTGACCTCGTGATCCATCCGCCTTGGCCTTCCAAAGTGCTGGGATTACAGGCGTGAGCCACTGCGCCCGGCCTACTTTATTGGGTCATTAAGGAATCGTGGTCAATTTGGCCACATCTGCCCTTTCTTGCGTGTCCTGTCCCTCTACAGGGACTGGAAATGAATCCCATGCTTTTTTTTTTTTTTTTGAGACAGAGTCTCGCACTGTTGGAGTGCCGTCGCCCAGTCTCAGCTCACTGCAATCTCTGCCTCCCAGGTTCAAGTGATCCTCCTGCCTCAGCCCCCCAAGGAGCTGGGACTACAGGCACATGCCACCACGTCCGGCTAATTTTTGTAATTTTAGTAGACACGGAGTTTCTCCATGTTGGTCAGGCTGGTCTCAAACTCCTGACCTCAAGTGATCCGCCCACCTCAGCCTTCCAAAGTGCTGGGATTACAGGTATGAGCCACCGTGCCCGGCCACATGCTCCTTTTGACAGAGCAGGGCAGAAGACAGATTCCTGGTGAGGTCACCCCACCCCACTCAAATGTGGTCATTACCGCACTGGCACTGTCACCCATGGAGCCCCTGCCCTGTCCCCAAGATCCGCCCTGGCAGCTCACGGCCCACATCTGATTGGCCCTCACCCTGAATCACTTCTTGTGTCCTTTGAACTGGTTCCCTCCTCCTGTAACATCCAACCCCAGTCCACCTTGTTCATGTAGCCAGGAGTTGGGAGGGCTGCGGGTGGGGATTGGGATTGCAACCCAGGCCCCTTGGCCATCAGATCCACAACTGGACTAGCCTCCAGCCACTGAGATCTGGAAGAGGAGCTGCGGCGAATTGCCAGAGACAGTGTGTGCTTATCTTGAAATTGCTGTGTGACCTGAGAGATTCCCTGGCCCTCTCTGAGCAGGGCTCATCAGGCTAGTGCCAGGTGAGGTCTCCCTGTCAAACAGCTGAGCCCAGAGCCCAGATTGGGGGATCACGAGGACCTCCTCGTTGGGGTCTCTGCCCTCATCAGACCCCCCAGCTCCTCCCTCAGCCTGGGCTGGGTGGGTGATGGAGCAGCTGCCAGCCTGCTGGAAATTTTTCTCCCCCTGGGGCCCAGGGCTGGGAGCCAAGGGCAGCTGCCGCTCAGAAGGAGGGAGAAGGCCCCACGGGCTGAGCTGGGTGCGCCATGAACCACATGTGAGATCCGGGGCATACAGGGAGGCAATGGGGGTTGGGAGCCATCCTGGGGTTCCAGAGTGGGCAGGCCAGGGTCCCCCAACGTTGGCCAGGTGGCTGGGCCTCTGCCCTTGTGGGACCCAAGGAGGGTTTCCATGTCCCTCTAAGTCTCAGAGGAAATTCCAGAGGGAGAGAAAGAGAAGTTGGGAAAGGGAGCTGTTCACTCTGACATCAGCTCAGGTAGAGGCGGAGACCATGGGGGCTCCAGGGGCGTCAGGGGACAGAGCAGCCTGTCCCCACTCCAACTCCTTACCCCCAGCGGACTGGCCCCACACCACCCTGTTAGGAAGACCTGGCCTGGCCTCCCGTGAGCCCCTGATCCCCTCCTGGGACCCCTGACTTGCAGCCAGGCAGTGGAGAGAGGGGCCCAGGTGTGTGGTGTGGGTGGCAGGTGAGTGATGGGCCCATCGAGGCTGGCTCAGGCCCGGAGTCACAAGGGGGTTTGACAGAGACTCTCCAGTCCCCTCACACCTTCCCCACCCTATGCCCCTCCACCCTCCCACCTGGGCCTGGGGGAGCCATCACAGGCACCTCTGAGGCATGTCCACTGTGCAGATGGGGAAAGTGAGGCTCAGATAGCACCGGGGAGTCACCACCACCCTCCACCACCAGGTCCCCCATGGCATTCTCCAGAGAGCAGCAATTTCCCCCAAGCCCAGAATGTTCCAGAATGTTCTGGAATGTTCCAGACGTCCTCATTTACAGTCAGAAGCCACCTGCAGCCCCTAAGTGGTGGAGCAGGGCTCTATGCAGGGCTTGCCAGATTTTGGAGTTCTTGACCTGAGATCTTCAGAAAACCGACTTTCGCCTCTGGCAGCTGTGTGGCCTTGGGTGAGTTCCTCAACTTCTCTGGGCATCAGCCACCTCCTCTACAGAGTGGAGCCACTGCCGGCACCTTCTTCAGGAGGCTGAGGTCATGCTGATCCTCCCACCACCCCCGCAGGGTCTCTGCGTACCCCCCTGCAGGGAGGAATGTTTGGCCTGGGTCCCTGGCCCTCTGTGGGCCTCAGTTTCCCCTCCTGTAATACTTTTAAGAAGCCCACCTCTCCCTGCCCATCCACAAGGCCACACACACGGTCACAGCCACTTGCAGACACAGCTTAAGAGTCCCACATGTGTCCCCACACAGCCCACTTCACCACACCCAAGGACACAGGTCCATGCAGACACAGCCTTGCGCAGTTACACAGAGACACACACAGACTTGGAGAGCCCAGCACACTCAGAGGGGCCGCTGCTCCGTCCAACACTCAAAGCCTCACTCCCAGGCCACACATTCCGTCTCACACTCACAATCACCGCCACCTACGAGCACCCACATAGAGCCACAGGCAGGCATCGAGACACATCTGCAGGCACTATCAGAGTCACGCTGAGGTCACAGCCACAGTGATGCGTTGGTGACACCCACCCGCTGGCGGTCACACCGAGTGTCCCCCAGCCAAGTGCACACCACTGCTGACGGTCACACACATACCCTTTGCCCTCCTCCTTAGGGGACCCTGCCCTTCCCTGACCTGCCCTGCACACCTTGGGCAACACATCCAGCTCCCCTGGACCCCGTACCCTGGGCAGAGAGGGTCCCTTTATCCCAGCCCTGCCCACCTTCACTCCTGGAGAGCGTGGGCCCCACTCCTCAGCCCTCAGAGCCTGCATGTCCACTGTGCAAATGGGGAGATTGAGGCTCAGAGAGCACCTGGAATTCACTACCACCTTCCACCACCAGGTTCCCCTTGGCATTCTCCAGAGAGCAGCAATTTCCCCCAAGGCCAGAATGTTCCAGAATGTTCTGGAATATTCTGGACATCCTCATTTACAGTCAGAAACCACCTGCAGCCCCTAAGTCATGGAGCAGGGCTCTATGCAGGGCTTGCCTGACTTTGGAGTTCTTGACCTGAGACCTTCAGAAAAAAGACTTTCACTTCTGGGTGGGTGCCAGAGCCCACCCCAGGGAGCCAGCTGAAGGAGAGGACCCCCGAGGGATCTGAACGCCTCCCCCAAGAGGCTTGACCTCCAGGGTCATAGAAAGTTCTAGAACAGGGTTTTCTGCCCCTGGACATTTGGAACCATCATTGTTGGTTGTAAGGGCCCCGACTTGTGCATTGTAGGGGGTTTGGAGTAACCCTGGCCTCTACCCACTAGGTGACCTCATCCTCCTCCCCTGGTTGTGACAACTGAAAATGTCTCCAGACATTGCCAAGTGCCCTTGGGGACAGAATCGCCCTGCGTGAGAACCACTGTTCTAGAGTGAGGGGGGACACAGGAGCTTTCCTTGAAGCATTCTCGCCTGAAAATGTTAACAGCATTATCTGTTTGCACCCCTCATGGGTGGTTAACAACAGCAATAAAACCACAAGCAAACCAGCCTGCACCATCGCCCGGGGGCAGGGCCTCAAGGGCACCCGTTCTCAGGGCCCAGTGCCCTCCAGGGTGAGGCATCGCAACACATCCACAGGCACTATCAGAGTCACGCCGAGGTCACACCCACAGTGATGCATTTGTGACACCCATCCGCTGGCGGTCACACCGAGTGTCCCCCAGCCATGTGCACACCACTGCTGATGGTCACACACATACCCTTCGCCCTCCTCCTTAGGGGACCCTGCCCTTCCCTGACCTGCCCTGCACACCTTGGGCAACACATCCAGCTCCCTTGGGCCCTGTGCCTCCCAGCGGGTGAGGCTCCTAGCAGGTGACATTCAGTGTGGCAAGGTCTCTGGGAGCAGGTCCCAGCAGGTAAAGTCCCCAACAGCCGAGATCCTCAGTAGGTGCAGCCTCCAGAAAGCAAGGTCCCCAGTAGGCACCATCCCCAGCCCCAGCTGGCAAGGTCCCCAGCAGGGGAGGCTCCTGGCAGTGAAGCCCGGCAAGTGAAATCCCAGGTAAGTCACATGCCTGGCCACCAAAGACTCCAGCAGGTGAGGCCCCAGGCAGGTGAGACCCCAGGCAGCCGAGGCCCCAGGTAGGTAAATCCCCCGACTAGTGAGACCCTAGGTAGGTGAGGCCCTGGGAAAGTGAGGTCCTGGCAGCCCAGGCCCCATGCCGGCCTCTCAGGTGAACCAAGCCGCTATGCTGCGCACCGTCTGGTACCTGGATTCCTGCTGCAGCTTCCAGCAGGCCTTGCAGAAAGCCAGTGCCCAGCTGAAGGAGCGAGGCCGCAGCGTCTCCCGCCAGCGAAAGTAGCTCAGGTAGCGGGCGTGGTCCTTGTCCAGCTCCTGCAGGTACCGGGCCAGGTCCTTGGGGCTCTGGAAGTCATCCACGTGGATGAAGGCGTCGGGTGGCAGGAACCTCTCGTAGTTGCTTCTGCTGGGGCCCAGCACCACGGGCACGGCCCAGGCCTCCAGGGCGTTCCTCCACAGCTTCTCGGTGATGTAGTCGGGGTGCAAGGAGTTCTCGAAGGCCAGATAGAACTTGTACCGGGACAGCGTCTCCATCATGGTCCCCTTGGGCAGGGGCTTGTGGGAGCGTCCGTACACGTCCACCTTGAGATGAGCCTGCAGGCTCTGGTAGTAGCGCACCCTGGCCGAGTCCGGCTTCCAGTTGGACACCGCCCAGGCCACCAGCTCGGTCTTGGCCGAGAGGTTGAGCGGTGGGTGGGCAGGCTGGCCGGACCACGGCTCCAGCCAGCCATAGGGCGTGAAGATGTCGGAGTCGCTGCGGTAGGACATGGTGAGATTGAAGTATCCGTCCAGGGCTTCCAGGTGCCGGCAGTTGCTGGGGGACTCCATGCTGAACCAGATCCAGCGCTGCCCCTGCGGCCTGGTGGGGGGCGGGAGGTTGGCACTGGGGTTGTACATGATATCCCAGTGGTGCACGATGACCGCGTCTGCCTGTGGGTACACACTGGAGTCGGCAGTGATGTTGCAGTCGGCCGCGCCGGGCACCATCTCTGAGCAGCGGGGCAGAGCCACGGGTGTGTTAAAAGGCCACGTCCACAGCAGGATCAGTAGGGTGGGGTGGGCAGGGGTCGCCATGCTGTCCTGGCAGCGGGACCCATTGGGAGCCCCGGTGACAGGTTCCACTGCCATAAGCCCTGGCCTAGGGGATCCAGTGGCATCGTCTCGGGACACACGCAGGTAGGAGAAGAAACACACAGCCACCAGCAGCTGAAACAGCAGCCCGGCCAGACAGCGGCGCCACAGCCACTGTGGCTTGGCTGGGCCCAGGGGATCCATGGGTCAGAGTATCTGGGAAGAGAGGAGAGAGGAGTGAGGGTCATTAAGGAAGATCACCCACTTCCTGGCCACGTGTCCTGAGAGAAGCTGTTATAATTTATGACACAGCTTGTCATAAATGCCCCCAGTACCCCTGAGTTGAGGATTGAATTTATAACTCTGACAGGGAAGGGTACAATGGGATTAGGTTTTGCAGGTAACATAAGAGTTCTCCAGATAAGGTAGGAGTTGAGGGAAAGGGTGTCCGTTGGATGAGGAAAGAGCCAGTGCCAAAGCCTGGCGGGGTGAGACACCTGAGCAGTTTGCAGACAAAGAAAAGGAAGTGCTCAGGGCTTCCAGTTTAGGCTTGATTTTCTATTCACTTGGTCTTTCAATCAACAGACACTCAAAGTTAACCCCTCTGGCCCTCAGACACACTGTCCCCGTCCTGGGGGAGAGGCTGAGGCTGGGGAGAGGTGGGGAGGATAGGAGGGAGAATGGGCAGGTGTGAAGACTCAGGAGAGGCAGGGGCTGACCAGGCAGGGAGTGGGGGGACCTGGGGCCCCAGGGAGGAGCAGGCTTTCAGGGAAGACATGGAACCCCGCTTGTTCTGGAGACACCCAGCACGGAACTGGAGGGAGCCCAGGGCCCTCAGAGTGTAGGCACTGGGTCTGGGAAGCCTGAGAAGAAAAACCTTCAAAGAGGCTAAGAGGGCGACCGGAGGAGGAGGAGGGAACCCGAACCATGCTTTGTGATGGGTGAGGTGAGGCTTGGATGCCAGGGTGGACTGTTTACAGTTTTAAATGTACATCTAAAAACTGAACAGCATATTTAAAAAAAATTTTATAGGCCAGGCGTGAGGGCTCATGCCTGTAATCCCAGCATTTTGGGAGGCCAAGGCGGGCAGATCACCTGAGGTCAGGAGTTCAAGACCAGCCTGGCCAACATGGCAAGACTCTGTCTCTACTAAAAAATACAAAAATTAGCCGGATGTGGTGGTGGTGCCTGTAATCCCAGCTACTTGGGAGGCTGAGGCAGGAAAATCACTTGAAATGAGCGGAGATCACACCACTGAACGCCAGCCTGGGTGACAGAATGAGACTCTGTCTCAAATAATAACAATAATAAATTTATAACACAGCATCTTCCTCTGTCACCCAGGCTGGAGTGCAGTAGCATGATCTCAGCTTACTGAAGCCTCAACCTCCCAGGTTCAAATGATCCTCCCACCTCAGCCTCCAGAAGAGCTGGGATTACAGGCAAGCGCCACCATGCCCAGCTAATTTTTTTTTTTTTAGACGGAGTCTCCCTCTGTCGCCCAGGCTAGAGTGCAGTGGCATGATCTCGGCTCACTGCAAGCTCCACCTCCCGGGTTCATGCCATTCTCCTGCCTCAGCCTCCCAAGTAGCTGGGACTACAGGTGCCCGCTACCATGCCCGGCTAATTTTTTTTTGTTTTTAGTAGAGATGGGGTTTCACCATGTTAGCCAGGATAGTCTCCATCTGACCTCGTGATCCGCCTGCCTGGGCCTCCCAAAGTGCTGGGATTACAGGTGTGAGCCACCATGCCCAGCCTTTTTTTTTTTTTTTTTTTTTTTAAATTTACTTTTGAGACTTGGCTCACTGCAACCTCTGCCTCCCAGATTCAAGTGATTCTTGTCCCTCAGCCTCCTGAGTAGCTGGGATGACAGGTGGGTACCACCATGCCCGGCTAATTTTTGTATTTTTAGTAGAGACAGGGTTTCACTATGTTGGTCAGACTGGTCTTGAACTCCTGGCCTCAAATGATCCACCTGCCTCGGCCTCCCAAAGTGCTGGGATTACAGGTGTGAGCCACCACACCCGGCCTAAATAAATTTTTTTTTCCCACCAAACACAACAGTATTGTTTTGGTAGAAACCATGTCACCATTGCTACCCAAAATTTAGTGCCTAAAAAGAGAGGTGCTTATGGTGTCAAATTTCCATACGATTGTTATTTCTTAGTATGAAAGAAAGGATGTGAAGTAGCTCATTAATGATTTTCTACATTAATTACATATTGAAATAACGCTTTGGATGTATTGGGTGAAATAAAATATATCATTAAAATTAAATTGGCCGGATGTGGTGCCTCACGTCTGTAATACCAGCAATATTGGGTGGATCACCTGAGGTCAGGAGTTCGAGGCCAGCCTGGCTAACATGGCGAAACCCTGTTTCTACTAAAAATACAAAAAATTAGCCAGGTGCTGGCACATGCCTATAATCCCAGCTACTCGGGAGGCTGAGGCAGAATTGCTTGAACCCGGGAGGCGGGGGTTGCAGTGAGCTGAGATTGCGCCACTGCACTCCAGCTTGGACAACAAAAGCTAAACTCCATCTCAAAAAAAAAAAAAAAAAAAAAAAGAAAAAGAAAAACATTAAATTTCCTGGTATTCTTTTTTAATGTGGTTGCTGGGAAGTTTTCTTTCTTTCTTTCTTTTTAAAATTATTATTTTTTGAGATGGAGTCACCGTGAGCCACTGTGCCTGGCCTATTGCTGGGAAATTGTAAATTACATTCGGGGTAGAAAACAGTTTGGTGCTTCCTTGAAAAGCCTGAGAGATACTTATCACATCACCAGCAATCTCCCTCCTAGGTAGAAGCCCCAAAGAATTAACAACAAAAGGACGCAAACAGATACTTGTACACCCATGGTCACAGCAGCCTGACTCACAACAGAACAAACAGCCCAAAGGTAGAAACTACCCAGATGTCCATCAATAGAAGAACAAATATACCTAGTGTGATCCATCCACACAATGGAATATCACTCAGCCATGAAAAGGCTGGGCGAGGTGGCTCATGTCTGTAATCCCAGCACTTTGGGAGGCCGAGGCAGGTAGATCACGAGGTCAGGAGATCAAGAACATCCTGGCTAACACGGTGAAACCCAGTCTCTATGGAAAATACAAAAAAATTAGCTGGGCATGGTGGTGGGCGCCAGTAGTCCCAGCTACTTGGGAAGCTGAGGCAGGAGAATGGTGTGAACCCAGGAGGCAGAACTGGCAGTGGGCCGAGATTGTGCCACTGCACTCCAGCCTGGGTGACAGAGTGAGGCTCCGTCTCAAAAAAAAAGAGAAAACCTGTCTCTACTAAAGATATAAAAAAAAGAGCCGGCATGGTGGCACATGCCTGTAATCCCAGCTACTTGGGAGGCTGAGGCAGGAGAATTGCTTGAACCCGGGAGGCAGAGCTTATAGTGAACCAAGATTGCGCCACTGCACTCCAGCCTGGGCAACAGGGCAAGACTCTGTCTCAAAAAAAAGAAAAGGAGCGAGGCTCCCACACAGGCCACAGCGTGGATGAAGGCTGAGGACATCACATTCAATGACAGAAGCCAGACACAAAATGCCACACAGTGTGTGATCCCATTTCTGGGAAATGTCCAGGACGAGCCGATCCACAGAGACAGGAAGTAGAACAGAGGTGACTGGAGGCTGGAGAGGGGAGAATGTTTGTTTAACGGGTCCAGAGTTTCTGTTTGGGGTGATGAAAGTTTTGGAAAGATGCTGGAGTGATGGTTGCACAACACTGCACGCGATGCCACTGAATTGTATGCTTAAAAATGCCTAAATGCGCCAGGTGCGGTGGCTCACGCCTGTCATCCCAGCACTTTGGGAGGCTGAGGCGGGAGGATCACCTGAGGTCAGGAGTTCGAGACAAGCCTGGCCAACATGGTGAAACCCCGTCTCTACTAAAAATATAAAAATTAGCTGGGCATGGTGGTGCACACCTGTAATCCCAGCTACTCAAGAGGCTGAGGCAGAAGACTCACTTCAACCCAGGAGGCAGAGGCTGCAGTGAGCAACAAGAGCAAAACTCTCTCTCATAAAAAAAAAAAAAAAAGCCTAAATGGTGAAGTTTATGTTATACATATATGTATGGATATATGGAATTACAATTTAAAAATAAGGTGGCTGGGCGCAGTGGCTCACACCTGTAATCCCAGCACTTTGGGAGGCCAAGGCGGGCGGATCACCAGGTCAGGAGATTGAGACCATCCTGGCTAACATGGTGAAACCCCGTCTCTACTAAAAATACAAAAAGAAATTAGCCAGGCGTGGTGGCGGGCGCCTGTAGTCCCAGCTACTTGAGAGGCTGAGGCAGGAGAATGGTGTGAACCCGGGAGGCGGAGCTTGCAGTGAGCTGAGATAGCACCACTGCACTCCAGCCTGGGCGACAGAGTGAGACTCCGTCTCAAAAAAAAAAAAAGGTAACACACCAAAAACCATTGACTTATTTACTTGTACACCTTAAGTTGGCTCACTGTATGGTATGTGAATTACATCCTGATGAAACCGTTTATTTATTTTTGAGACTGAGTCTTGCTCTGTTGCCCAGGCTGGAGTGCAGTGGCACAATCTCAGTTCACTGCAACCTCCACCTCTGCGTTCAAGTGATTCTCCTGCCTTAGCCTCTCAAGTAGCTGGGATTACAGACACACACCACAATGCCCAGCTAATTTTTGTATTTTTAGTAGAGACGGGGTTTCACCACGTTAGCCAGGCTGGTCTCGAACTCCTGACCTAAAGTGATCCACCCGCCTTGGCCTCCCAAAGTGCTGGGATTACAGGCATAAGCCACCACGCCCAGCCGATGAAGCTGTTTTAAAATGATGTAGGGTTGCCAGCTTTCTCTGTTGGGCCAAGTTGGTCTTAACCTTGCAGCAGGTGACCTGGGTGTGATGAAGTGATCCAGACACCCAGTCCCAAGCTCATGCCAAGGTTCTGGAAAGAGATTCAAAACACAAGCCCTCAGGGCACAGTCCGAGCCCAGAGTGGGAGGGAGGTTGAACTTTGACCAATTACTGCTTTGTACCATTGGACTCTAGAGCCTCAGGCACAGGTTAATTTTTATTTTTAAGACGGAGTCTCGCTCTGTTGCCCAGGCTGGAGTGCAGTGGCACTATCTTGGCTCACTGCAAGCTCCGCCTCCTGGGTTCACGCCATTCTCCTGCCTCAGCCTCCCGAGTAGCTGGGACTACAGGGCCCGGCTAATTTTTTGTATTTTAGTAGAGACGGGATTTCACCGTGTTAGCCAGGATGGTCTTGATCTCCTGACCTCATGATCCGCCCGCCTCGGCCTCCCAAAGTGCTAGGATTACAGGTGTGAGCCACTGCGCCCGGCCAGGCACAGGTTAATTTTTATAAAGTAATTGATATTAAGATGGAATTACATGGGCCCTGGGTTCATGGCAGCCCCTCTTAGGAGACAGTGAAGTATATTTTAACGAGGTATAGAAGGGTAGATTGGGGCCAGGTGTGGTGGGTCACACCTGTAATCCTAGCACTTTGGGAGGCCAAGGACAGAGAATTGCTTGAACTTGGGAGGTGGAGGTTGCAGTGAGCTGAGATCACACCACTGCACAGGAGCCTGGGCAACAGAGCGAGACGACATCTCAATTTAAAAAAAAAAAAAAAAAAAAAAAAAAAAAAAAGAAGGGTAGATTGGGGAAAATGGGTAATTCAGGGGTGGTCAGGGCTGAGGTCCCACCCAAGTTGAACCCAAGATATTTTTTTCTAGAAAAAGAATGCCTGGGCTGGACACAGTGGCTCATGCCTGTAATCCCAGCACTTTGGGAGGCTGAGGCGGGTGGACCACCTGAGGTCAGGAGTTCAAGACCAGCCTGGCCAACATGGTGAAACCCCGTCTTTACTAAAAATAAAAAAAAAATTAGCCAGGCATGGTGGTGGGCACCTGTAATCCCAGCTACTCAGGAAGCTGAGGCCAGAGAATTGCTTGAATCAGGGAGGTGGAGGTTGCAGTGAGCCAAGATGGCGCCACTGTACTCCAACCTGGGTGACAGAGTGAGACTCCGTCCCCCCCAAAAAAAGCATGCCCAGTTCCTCCTGGTTTGGCGAATCAGCCAGAACCTTCCATCCCCTCCTCCATCCCACTACATGCAGCACCCAGAAAGACCCCTGCCTGCGACTAGGGCCTGCTGGCCAAATTCCAGGCCACTGCACAGCCTGCAGACCCTTCTCCGGGGATTCTGTGCCCATCCAGCTGCATCCTGAATCACAGCAGACAGGACCGGCGCTGAGGTGGGAACAAACGGAGCCAGGACGCCTTTCCTACGAGGTCTCCCGTGATTTCTGGGTTGGGGATAAAGGTGCCCCAAGACTCTCTCCCTGGATGGCGGGGGCAGCATGCCCAGGATGAGAGCACCTCCCCAGGAGGCTGAGGACAGAGTACCAGCTGGATTCTCAGGACGTGGAAGAGGCCAGACCAGGTAGCAGCAGGAAGGAGGAAGTATACCTGGAGCTGAAGCCAGGCTCTGTCCAACCACTGCACCTGCCATCAGGTGACCCAGTGTGTCCTGTCCTGGAGCTGGGACATCCTCTGAAAGCAAATTGTGTGTCTCCTCTAATCCCTGCTGTAGAATTGGAAAGGGTGCAGGGATTTGGAGGCCTAGGTCATGACCCTGGTCCTACCGGTGGCCTCAATGCAATGCGGCTTTGAGCACAAAGGGAAAAGGCTGACCTGAACCACTGGTTCCCAAAGTGGGTTCCATAGGGACACCAGGGGTTCCTTGGGAGGTGGGAATGGGGAAGTGAGCAGAATTTCCACCTTCCCGCCTTCCTTCCCACCAGATCCCACCTCCCACTTAGTTCATCAGCAAATATTTCCTGAAGGCCAGGCACAGTGGCTCACACCTGTAATCCCAGCACTTTGGGAGGCCGAGGCAGGCGGATCACCTGAGGTCAGGAGTTCAAGACCAGCCTGGGCAACATGGTGAAACCCCATGTCTACTAAAAAAAAAAAAAAAAAAATTAGCCGGGCATGGTGGTGCATGCCTGTAATCCCAGGTACTCAGGAGGCTGAGGCATGAGAATCACTTGAACCCAGGAGGCAAAGGCTGCAGTGAGCTGAGATCAAGCCACTGCACTCCAGCCTGGGCAACAGAGCAAGACTCTGTCTCACAAAAAAAACACAGAACCACAAATATTTCCTAAGCACTTACTAAGTGCCAGGCCAAGCACTCCTGCAAGGAGCTGGAGGGTGAGTCACCGACAATACGCGAGCCTTATAAGGGAACTAACAATTAAAACTGTGGCCTTCTAAACAAAGCGGGGAGGGAAAAGCATTCTGGGTAGAGGGAACAACCTATGCAAAGGCCCCGAGGGAGCAGAGGTCCAGGCACGTTGGAGGAACTGGGGGGAGTCTCAGCAGGCTGGGTCTTCACCATGGGAGAAGAGGCAGAGCTGTCGCAGAGGCCAGGCCACGGTCAGCCATGGGGTGTTCAGCACCAGGGCAATAGGGAGCCATTGGAGGCTTCAAGCAGAGGGGTTACCATGTTGATGTGTGGTTTGAGATGCTCTCTTTTCTTTTTTGAGATAGCCTTGCTCTGTTGCCCAGGCTGGAGTGCAGGTTGGCGTGCAGTGGCATGATCTTGGCTCACTGTAGCCTCTGCCTCCTGGGTTCAAGAGATTCACCTGTCTCAGCCTCAGGAGCAGGGATTACAAGTACCCGCCACCATGCCCACCTAATTTTTGTATTTTTACTAGAGATGGGGATTCACCATGTTGGCCAGGCTGGTCTCGAACTCCTGACCTCAAGTGATCAGCCCACCTCAGCCTCCCAAAGTGCTGGGATTACAGGCGGGAGCCCCCACACCCGTCCTGAGATGCTCTCTTCTGACACACTAGGCACAGGCCCCACTCTGGTGGCCTCACCAAGCCCTTCTGTGTGCCTCAAAGCCACTCCCTTTCCCCGCCCACTCCTGCAGGGCAGTGTAGAAGTCCAAGAAGCCAAGTAAGTTTCCTGGAATGCAGAAGAGAAAGGATGTGGAAGGATGTCTTTGACAGAGGATGTCCTTAAACTCTGTCACTCCCAAGCTGGGTACAGAGGTGACAGAGCCCACGTTTCACTTTCAGGTATCACGACTTCCCTGTTCTAGAAATAATTTCCAGGAGGCCGTTTCATGCTGCCCCAGACTTTCACCGTCTCAGTTCCCAGCCAGGCCCAGGCCAGTGGGGAAGATCGACTGGCCAGGGCTGGGCCAGGGACTGCGGTCTCCCAGGCAAGCCATTTCCAGAAGGGATGACCTGAGTCTGTTCTCTGTTCATGTCCTCGCTGGGGGCATTGTCTGTGACTGATTAAAACATAACTCATAGAAGTTGGGTATAGTGGCTCACACTCATAATTCCAGCACTTTGGGAGGCCGAGGTGAGCAGATCACCTGAGGTCAGGAGTTTGAGACCAGCCTGGCCAACATGGTGAAACCTCGTCTCTGCTAAAAATACAAAAATTAGCCGGGTGTGGTGGTGCACACCTGTAATCCCAGCTACTCTGGAAGCTGAGGCGGGAGAATCACTTGAACCCGGGAGGCAGAGGTTTGCAGTGAGCTAAGATTGGGTCACTGCACTCCAGCCTGGGTGACAGAGTGAGACTCCATCACAAAAAGAAAAAAACCCAAAAAAACATAACTCATGGGGCTCTCAGTCTTGGTGTGACTTTGTCCTGGAGCCCCAGCCAAGCCTGGACCGGCAACGCTTCCATCCCACACAGCTGTCCTGTGGATGTGAAGACAGGTCCTGAGAGAGGGCGCTCACTACTCAAGTCACTGGGAGTCTCAATCGCACCAGGCTGTCTTCAGTTGGACAGCTGTACTCTCTGCCCCCTGCCTCCTGCTTAATTCCCAGTCATCCTTCAGGGCTCGGTGAAAACAGCTCCTCCAGGGAGCCTCCCCAGATAGGGGCTCTCTTGCCCTCCCAGCCAGATCATCCTTTCTACTGGCTCCTCCAACCACCCGTGCCCCTGATTCTAGGCTCAGGCCGCGAGGATCTCTTCCCTCTGGCTCAGATGAGCTGAGACTTGCTTGGGGGGTGCGGTGAGGCCATCTGTGCCCCTCGTTGGGGTCCTGGTCTTCATTGGACACCCCAGCTCCTCCCTCAGCCTGGGCTGGGTGGGTGATAAAGCTGTCAGCCTGCTGGAAATTTCTCTCCCCTTGGGGCCTAAGGGCTGGGAGCCAAGGGCAGCTGCCGCTCAGGAGGAGGGAGAAGGCCCCATAGGCTGGGCTGGGTGCACCATGAACCACATGTGAGATCTGGGGCACATGGGGAGACAATGGGGGGTTGAGGGCAGTGCTGGTGTTCCAGAGGGGGCAGGCCAGGGTCCCCCAATGTTGGCCAGGTGGCTGGTCTTCTGCCCTTGTGGAACCCAAGGAGGGTTTCCATGTCCCTCTAAGCCTCAGAGGAAATTCCAGAGGGAGAGAAAGAGAAGTTGGGAAAGGGAGCTGTTCACTCTGACATCAGCTCAGGGAGAGGCGGAGACCACGGGGGCTCCAGGGGCATCAGGGGACAGAGCAGCCTGTCCCCACACCTCTTACCCCCTGGGGACTGGGCCTGCCCCAGCCTGTTAGGAAGCCCTGGCCTGGCCTGCCGAGGGCCCCGTCCCCCTCCCAGGACCCCTGGCTTGCAGCCAGGTGGTGGGGAGAGGGGCCCAGGTGGGTGGTGTGTGTGGCAGGTGAGTGATGGGCCCAGCAAGGCTGGCTCAGGCCCGGAGTCACCAGGGGGCTTAGCAGAGACTCTTCAGGCCCCCCACACCTTCCCCACCCTATGCCCCTCCACCCTTCTACCTGGGCCTGGGGGAGCCATCACAGGCACCTCTGCATGTCCACTGTACAGATGGGGAAACCGAGGCTTAGATAGCACCTGGGAGTCACCACCACCCTGCACCACCAGGTCCCCCATGGCATTCTCCAGAGAGCAGCAATTTCCCCCAACACTAGAATGTTCCAGATATCCTCACTTACAGTCAGAAGCCACCTGCAGCCCCTAAGTGGTGGAGCAGGGCTCTATGGGGGACTTGCCTGACTTTGGAGTTCTTGACCCTGAGATCTTCAGAAAACCGACTTTCACCTCTGGCAGCTGTGTGGCCTTGGATGAGTTCCTCAACTTCTCTGGGCGTCAGCCACCTCCTCTGTAGAGTGGAGCCACTGCCGGCACCTTCTTCAGGAGGTTGAGGTGACCTGGAAGGTCACGCTGATCCTCCCACCGCCCCACAGGGTCTCTGCGTACCCCCTCTACAGGCTGGAATGTTTGGCCTGGGTCCCTGGCCCTCTGCGGGCCTCGGTTTCCCCTCCTGTAATACTTGTAAGAACTCAGCCTCTCCCTGCTCATCTACATGGTGCTGGGGCCACTAAACAGACAGGGAGTGCGGGAAGCCCCAGGTGACGGTGACAGAAACCTGGCACCCCCTAGAAACCTGACCCTGGCCTCACCCCCGGGTCCCCTGGCACCAACACGCTGAGGTCTGCCCACCCCTGGTACCCAGGCCCAGCTGGGTTCATGCAGCTTAAATTTCAGCCTGTGGTGGGTGAAGAGGCGGGGGCTGGACACGCTTCATTTTCCAATTTCTAGAAATAAAAGCTGTGGGGCCATCTATTGTGGAGTGGAAATAAAGCCCATTGCAAAACCTTGTGTGTGAAAAAATAACAATAGCATTTACCTCCCTGCCCGGGGAGAGAAAATTCCAGGGAATACATGGGGCCGGGGAACAAAGAGGCCTTTCTCTCATTCTGGAAAGGTTTTGTGAAGTGTGCGAGTGGCAATTTTAGAATCAGAAAAGCTAATGGAGGTATTTTCTTTCTTTCTTTCTTTCTGAGACTGAGTCTTGCTCTATCGCCCAGGCTGGAGTGCTGTGGTGCGATCTCGACTCACTGCAACCTCCCACTACCGAGTTCAAGCAATTCTCATGCCTCAGCCTCCCGAGTAGCTGGGATTACAGATGCCCGCCACCACGCCCAGCTAAATTTTGTATTTTAAGTAGAGATGGTGTTTCACTATGTTGGCCAGGCTGTTCTCGAACTCCGGACCTCAAGTGATCTGCCCGCCTCGGCATCCCAAAGTGCTGAGATTACAGGCGTGAGCCACCACACCCGGCCCAATGAAGGTATTTCCGAGAACGAAAACGGTTAGGAGGTGGTCTGTTGGAACCTGGAGGTGAAAAGTATAATTTTCTTTCCTTTTTTTTTTTTTTTCCAGACGGAGTCTCCCTCTGTCGCCTGCCCAGGCTGGAGTGCAGTGGCACAATCTCAGCCCACTGCAACCTCCGCCTCCTGGGTTCAAGTGATTCTCCTGTCTCAGCCTCCCGAGTAGCTGGAATTACAGGCACGCGCCACGACGCCTAGCTAATTTTTTGTATTTTTAGTAGAGATGGGGTTTCACCGTGTTAGCCAGGATGGTCTCAATCTCCTGACCTCGTGATCAGTCTGTCTTGGCCTCCCAAAGTGCTAGGATTACAGCAGTGAGCCACCGCACCGGGCCAAAAAGCATAATTTTCTTGGTTTGTTTTCAGGCGATGTTTTCAAGGTTTCTAAGCACCTGTCTCTCCATCGGCAAAAATTACAGCCAGTAGAGCCAGCGACCTGGGCACCTGGGCCAGCCCTGCAGGGAGTGTATGGAGATGCCACTCACCTTGGAAAGATGCACCAGGAGTTACGGTCCACTCTGTCCCTGTTGGCGTTCTCTGAAGAGTAGAAATTTTCCCCTACCCAGACTCTGAGAATGTTCCAAAGACCTCAATTTATATTTGGTATCCACCTGCAGCCACTCAGTCCCTCAGCCCAGCTGTAGCCTCTGGTCACTCCCCCTCCCAGAGGGAGACAGTGTTGAGATTTGACTTCAGAACAAGGGCAGAGCCTTACAAAAAATGAGCTGGGCATGGTGGTGGGTGCCTGTAATCCCAGCTACTCATGAGGATGAGGCAGGAGAATCACCTGAACCCAGGAGGTGGAGGTTGGAGGTGGAGGTTGCAGTAAGATGAGATCACGCCACTGCTCTCCAGTCTGGGCGACGGAGCAAAACTCTGTCTCACTCACTCACTCAATAAATAAATAAATAAGCGAAAATAAATAGGCCAGGCACAGGGGCTCACGCCTGTAATCCCAGCACTTTGGGAGGCTGAGGTGGGTGGATCACGAGGTAAGGAGTTCGAGACCAGTCTGGCCAACACAGTGAAACCCTGTCTCTACTCAAAATAGAAAAATTAGCTGGGCGGGATGGTGAGCGCCTGTAATCCCAGCTACTTGGGAGGCTGAGGCTCAAGAATTGCACGAACCTGGGAGGCGGAGGTTGCAGTGAGCTGAGATCGCGCCACTGCACTACAGCCTGGGCAAGAGACTCCGTCTCAAAAAAAAAAAAAAAAAAAAAATTGGTGAGGCGCGGTGGCTCAGGCCTATAATCCCAGCACTTTGGGAGGTCAAGGTGGGGGGACTTCCTGAAGTTGGGAGTTTGAGACCAGTTGAGGTCTTTGGAACATTCTGAGACTCCGGGTAGGGAAAAATTTCTATCCTCCAGGGTACTCCAACAGGGAGGGAGAGGACTGCAAATTCTGGCGCATCTCTTCCCAAGGTGGCGTCTCCATACACTCCCCGCAACATGGAGAAACCCTCTCTCTACTAAAAATACAAAATTAGCCGGGCGTGGTGGTGCACGCCTGTAATCCCAGCTACTCAGGAGACTGAGGCAGGAGAATCACTTGAACCTGGGAGGTGGAGGTTGTGGTGAGCCGAGATTGTGCCATTGCACTCCAGCCTGGGCAACAAGAGTGAAATTCCGTCTCAAAAAAAAAAAAGATCTTGTTTATTTCTTGGTTTGTCAGTGTCTTCCCCAGATTGGGCGGCTCATGGGGCAGGGCTTGGGTCCCCAGTATGACCTGGCACCCAGTAGGCACTCAGTAAACAGGTGCTGAATAAATGTCCTTGTCTGTGATGGAAGCTTGAACTCCCACTTGGAGAATTATAAACGAAGACTGAAGATCTTTGGACTCTGGGGCAGGAGTGACCCTCCCCCTGCCCCTTCCCCACCCCCCACCGACCACCCCAGAGATTACAGCCTGCCTCAGGGGAATCTGCAGGTGAGGTAGTCCTCACCCCCAGTGACACAGGGCAGGACCTCGCAGGGCTGGAGATGGAGGAGGCCGGGTGGCAGGCACAGGCAGGCAAAGAATGCTGCCGCAGACGAGAATGAATAAACAGGCTCCTTGGATGTCAGAGGCTGGGGGTGGGGGGACACTTTGAACCTCACGCCTGGCTGGGGATGTTTGGACAAGGCAGGCGGCCAGCGGGTGTCATCAGGGCTAAAATTAACCTCCACTTCCCGCTCAGCCCCTCCCCCTGGGCCAGGAGGGAGGCTGGGGCCCCGGCCATCACTTAAGTGAGCGCTGTATGCCGGACAAAGCTCCTTGAAGAAATCAATGCACGTGGTCCTCTCAACAACCCCGACAGCTGCTATCAGTAATGGCATTGTGATTTATCCCCATTTTGCAGGTGAGGAAACCAAGGCACTGAGAAAAAGGGAGGCTGATAGCCACAAAACTCAAAAGCAGCAGAGTCAGGACTCGAACCTGGGATTCAGGGAGTGTGTTCTCACCTGGAGGTCTCCCTGAAAGCCAGGGGAGATGAAAGAGACCCTGAGCGATGAGTCCTTGGCGGAGGCGGGCATGCGGCCCCTCACTCACTCTCCCCTAGGGACCTCTCCAGAGGTTTCCAGAGTTACAGTAACTTTGGGTCTTTTTGTGCAAATTCCAAGAGATGCCTGCTGTGCCAGTGACCTGCTGGGGACCTAAAACACCCTCATTGAGCCAGGGAAGGGTCAAGGAGGGGGCGGGGACAGGGCTGGTGGGCTGTGGAAACCTCGTGCAGATGGTGAGATATTAAAATACATCCACTCCACAAAAATTAGCTGGGCGTGGTGACGCGCATCTGTAATCCCAGCTACTCAGGAGGCTGAGGTAGAAGAATCACTTGAACCCGGGAGGCAGAGGTTGCAGTGAGCTGAGATTGTGCCTCTGCACTCCAGCCTGGGCGACAGAGCGAGACTCTGTCTCAAAAAAATTAAAAAAAAAAATTAAAAAAAAGATCCACTCCAGACCAGTGCAGTTGCTCATGCCTATAATCCCAGCACTTTGGGAGGCTGAGGCATGAGAATCGCTTGAACCTGGGAGGTGGAGGTTGCAGTGAGCCAGGATCGCGCCACCGGACTCCAGCATGGGCAACAGAACAAAACTCCATCTCAAAAAAAAAAAAAAAAAAAAAGGAATGAATGATGCTGTAAGTATATCCCAAGAATTGCATGGGATATACTTACGCCAAGCCGTGATTCATGATCTATCTGAAATCCAAACTTAACTGGATGTCTTGGATTTTTATTTGCTAACTCTGATGACTTCAGCTGGGTGGGGGTGGGGGGCAGTCCCTGTAGCGGGCAGGTGCTAAGAGCAAAGGCAGGCATTAAGGAGGTGAAATCAGAGCCACACCAGGCGCTCAGGTGGCTTCCAGGACGCGACGCCTTCCTAATGGGCTTCCCAGGTGCCTCCGGGACCAGCCAGATGGAGGAGGCTTCGGGGCCTCCCTGGCCCTCACCCGCTGGGCCAGCCCCTCATCACCACCTCCCAGGTCCCTCCTGCCAGGCTCATTATTCATCTTTAACGGTCACTCGGCAGGGGGAGTGTGGGCTGGGAACACCTGGGACTCCCAGGCTTGCAGTGGGCGGCCTCACTAATGGGGGTGAGGCCCCCATTAGAGAGGCAGTAATGGGTGGGAAAGGGGTCCCGGCCCACCAAGGAGCTGGCCTGGGGCAGGAAGCATCCAATTTGGGGCAGGGGCGGGAAACAGACTTCTGCCACCCCCACCCTGCCATTTCCTTTCCTGTCGAGGCAGGAGTCCAGGGAAGCACCTCTGGATGCCTTCACCCTTCCCAATCTCCACCTGGACGGGGTCCTGCTGGGCCCCCCAGACGCAGAGGGGGCTGCTCTGGCACTCCTGCCTCCCCATATCCAGGCAGGGGTAGGATGGATGCCCCAGCCTTGACCTTCCAGCTTCCCATCTGCCAGACTTGCTCAAGAGAGTGGCTCACGGCTAAGGAGTGGAAACTGACACCCAGAGAAGGATCTAGAACCTCGTACTCTTCCATGCTCTTAGCCACTCCCCTTTCTGTCTCTCCTCTGAGCTATCACACATGTTGTTCCTCTCTCTTGGGCACTCTAGCCTGGATGACAAAGGGGGATCCTGTCTCTTAAAAAACAAACAAACAGACAAGGCTGGGTGCGGTGACTAACATCTGTAATCCCAGCACTTTGGGAGGCCAAGGCGGGCAGATCACGAGGTCAAGAGATCGAGACCATCCTGGCCAAACTGGAAAAACCCCATCTCTACTAAAAATACAAAAATTAACTGGGTGTGATGGCACACACCTGTAGTCCCAGCTACTCAGGAGGTGGAGGTTGCAGTGAGCCGAGATCACGCCATTGCACTCCGGCCTGGTCAACAGAGTGAGATTCTGCCTCAAAAAAGAAAAAAAAAGAAAAAAAGAAACGGCCGGGTGTGATGGCTCACGCCTGTAATCCCAGCACTTTGGGAAGCTGAGACGGGCAGATCACCTGAGGTCGGGAGTTTGAGACCAGCCTGACCAACATGGAGAAACACCATCTCTACTAAAAAATACAAAATTAGCCAGGCATGGTGGCGCATGCCTGTAATCCCAGCTACTCACGAGGCTGAGGCAGGAGAATCGCTTGAACCCAGGAGGCAGAGGTTGCGGTGAGCTGAGATCGCACCATTGCACTCCAGCCTGGGCGACAAGAATGAAACTCTGTCTCAAAAAAGAAAAAAAAAAAAAGAAAAAAAATGTCCCTACACCCCTATTAGAATGGCCAAATCCAAAGCCCTGCCAACAGCAACCCCAAATGCCCCGAACCCCTGAGGACAGGGAGCAACAGGGAGTGTCATTCATTGCCGGTGAGAATGCAGAATGGTACAGCCGCTTTGGAACAGTTTGGCAGTTTCTTATAAAACTAAACATACTCTTAGGATGAGACCTAGAAATGGTACTCCTAGGTATTTACCCAAAGGAGCTGAAAACCTAACATCCACACAAAAACCTGCACACAGATGTTTACAGCAGCATTATTCACAGTTGCCAAGATTGGGAAGCAGCCAAGATGTCCTTCAGCAGGAGAATGGGTAAGAACACTGTGGTGTGCTCAGATGACAAAATTTTATTCAGGCTGGGCACGGTGGCTCACGGCTGTAATCCTAGCACTTTGGGAGGCAGGGGCGGGCAGATTACCTAAGGTCAGGAGTTCGAGACCAGCCTGGTCAACATGGGGAAACCCTGTCTCTACTAAAAATACAAAAATTAGCTGGGCGTGGCGGCACGAACCTGTAGTCCCAGCTATTCAGGAGGCAGGAGAATCTCTTGAACCCAAGCAGACATTGCAGTGAGCTGAGATCGCGCCACTGCACTCCAGCCTGGGTGAAAGAGGAAGACTCCATCTATATCTATATCTATATATCTATATCTATATCTATATCTATATAAAATATAAAATTCAGTGCTAAAAAGAAATGAGCTGTCAAGCCATGAAAAGACACAGAGGAACCTTAAATGCATTTTTTTTTTGAGACGGAGTTTCGCTCTTGTTGCCCAGGCTGGAGTGCAGTGGCACAATCTTGGCTCACTGCAAACTCTCCCCCACTCCCTGGGTTCAAGCGATTCTCCTGCCTCAACCTCCTGAGTAGCTGAGATAACAGGCGCTGGCCACCACACCTGGCTAATTTTTGTATATTTAGTAGAGATGGGGTTTTATCATCTTGGCCAGGCTGGTCTCAAACTCCTGACTTCAGGCCTCCCTCCGCCTGCCAAGGTGCTGGGATTACAGGCGTGAGCCAACACGCCCAGCCCTTCAATGCATATTACTGAGTGAAAGAAGCCCATTTGAAAAGGTGACACACTGTATGATTCTAGCTACAGAATATTCCCGAAAGAGGAAAACTATGGAGACAGTGAAAAGGTCAGTGGCTGTCAGGGGCTGGGGGAGGAAGGGACGAACAGGCAGAGCACAGTGGATTTTTAGGGTAGTGAAACTACTCTGCATGATACTGTTAAATGGTAGACATATGTCATTACACATTCATCCAAACCCACAGAATATATGCATACAACACCAAGAGTGAACCCTCATGTCAACTATGAACTTTTTTTTTTTTTTTAGATGGAGTTTTGCTCTGTCGCCCAGGCTGGAGTGCAATGGCCTGATCTCAGCTCACTGCAACCTCCACCTCCCAGGTTCAAGTGATTCTTCTGTTTCAGCCTCCCAAGTAGCTGGGATTACAGGCATGCGCCACCATGCCCGGCTAATTTTTTGTATTTTTAGTAGAGATGGGGTTTCACCACATTGGCCAGGTTGGTCTCAAACTCCTGAGCTCAGGTGATCTGCCCACCTTGGCCTCCCAAAGTGCTGGGATTACAGGCGTGAGCCACCACATCCAGCCAAAAATGACATTTATTACAATTTCTTGGCTGGGCTCGGTGGCTCACGCCTGTAATCCCAGCACTTTGGGAGGCCGAGGCAGGCAGATCACAAGGTCAGGAGATCGAGACCATCCTGGCTAACACGGTGAAACCCCGTCTCTACTAAAAATACAAAAAATTAGCTGGGCGTGGTGGAGGCACCTGTAGTCCCAGCTACTCGGGAGGCTGAGGCAGGACGATGGTGTGAACAGGGAAGGCGGAGCTTGCAGTGAGCCAAGATTGTGCCACTGCACTCCAGCCTGGGTGACAGAGTGAGACTCCGTCTCAAAAAAAAAAAAAAAAAATTTCTTCATTGCTGCCCGGTGTATAGTAGCAGAAGACTGGAGGCCAGGACATGTGCTTTCACCAGAACAATGGTCCAGCCTCAAGATGGAATATTACACTGTCCTTACAAAAGAGGGGGAAGTTCTGCACTCGAAGAAAAGATCCGAGATGCATTGTTAGGAGTCAACTACGCTGAGCTGCAAGAAAGCACGGGGAGTGTGATGTTGTTTCCGTGGGGAAAAGAAAATATACAGACATGCTTGTTTTGGCGTGGAACATGGCTGGAAGGAGAAACAAGAAACCGACTAATGGCCTCTGGGGATGGCGTGGGGCTTGGGGAGTGGCTGGTATTTATTCTAAACACCCTCTAGAATCTTTTGAATTCTATGGCATGCGTCTGTCTTACCTCTAAAAGAAGGAGGATAAACTGTAAAATGCATTTTAGAAAGCATACTGAGAAAGGCCGGGCGCGGTGGCTCATGCCTGTAATCCCAGCACTTTGGGAGGCCGAGGCCGGAGGATCATGAGGTCAGGAGATCAAGACCATCCTGGCTAACACAGTGAAACCCCGTCTCTACTAAAAATACAAAAAAATTGGCCGGGCTTGGTGCGGGCGCCTGTAGTCCCACCTACTCGGGAGGCTGAAGCAGGAGAATGGCGTGAACCCGGGAGGCAAAGCTTGCAGTGAGCCGAGATGGCGCCACTGCACTCCAGCCTGGGCGACAGAGCGAGACTCCGTCTCAAAAAAAAAAAAGTGCTGAGAAAAAAAAAATGGACAAAATAGAAGACTTTGGATGGGTTTGAAAAGGCTGGGGTGGCAGGGGTGGTGGCTCTAGATTTCAGGCCAGGCCATCGCTCTGCCTGCTGCCCCTCAGTTTGGGCTGAATCCCCCACCAGGCCCCCCAACGAGGCCCCCCAGAGCCCTGCTCTTGTCCTGGCTCACACCTTTCCTACTCTGGTTCAGCGAGGGTTCAGACCAGTGGGGACCCCTGGAAGGTGAGATGTGGGCTGGGCTGGGGCCAGGGACAGGGCCAGGCCTGCCGGAGCCCCTTGCAGCTCGGCCCGACCACCCAGCTTTCCAGGAAGCCCGAGGGGAGGCTTGGCTGGCTCAGAGGAAGGACCTGTGTGCGCCAATGGTGGGGCTGGGGGCCAAACCAGGCCCCTCTGAGCGCCCACGCTCTGAGGAGGACCACAGCAAGTGGAGGGAGGGTGGCTAGAAAAGAGATACACAGGGAGGAAGGCCCGAGCTTCCCTATGCCTCAGTTTCCCCATAGGCCAAATGGCTCGCTGGCTGTGTGGCCCTTGTGGACACAGGGGATGCCTGAGATGATGTGGGACCAGGGAACTATGGCTCCACTGGGTCCTAGCCTTGGACGCCAAGCCAGATAGGATAAGGGGGGGCAAGTCCCGCCCCGACTTCTGGAGCCCTGAAGTAATGACTAACCCGGCTTTAGGCTTTAAGGCTGGGGCCTCCTACCAGAACACAGCCAGGAGAGAGTCACGTCCTCTTTCCTAAGATCTCTACCCCTGTCTACTCCCTCTTCCTCCCTCTGTGCTCTGCTGGGGACCCTGTGGGTACAGGGATGTGGCACCCCCAAGGCATTCAGGGCTCTGGGCCTCTCTTTTTTTAGAGACAGGGTCTCGCTCTGTCACCCAGGCTGGAGTGCGGTGGCAGGATCATAGCTTACTGCAGCCTCGAACTCCTGGGCTCAAGCGATTCTCCTACCTTAGCCTCCTAAGTAGCTGGGACTACAGGTGTGTACCACCATGCCTGGCTCCAGCCCCCTTTTTGGCTCTTTTGGGGGTACCCTAGTGGGCCAGTGTTGGTCCCAGGGGTCTTTGTCAGGACAAGGGAAATGTTTGGCCCAGAAGTGCCTGTCTATGGTTTAAGCAAGATCTGCAGCTGGCCACAGTGACTCCCGCCTGTAATCCCAGCACTTTGGGAGGCTGAAGCAGGAGGGTCACTTGAGGCCGGGAGTTCAAGACCAGCCTGGACAACACAGTGAGACTCCATCTCTACAAAAAATTTAGAAATTAGCCAGGTGTGTTGGTGCATGCCTGTAGTCCCAGCTTCTTGGAAGCTGAGGCAGAAGAATCGTTTGAGCCCAGGAGTTTGAGGTTGCAGTAAGCTATGATCTCACCACTGCACTCCAATCTGGGCAACAGGGCAAGACCTTGTCTTCTTCTTATTTTTTGAGATGGAGTTTTGCTCTTGTCACTCAGGCTGGAGTGCAGTGGCTCGATCTCAGCTCACTGCAACCTCCACCTCCTGGGTTCAAGTGTTTCTCCTGCCTTAGTCTCCTGAGTAGCTGGTATTACAGGCTCACACCACGATGCCTAGCTGATTTTCATTTATTTATTTATTTATTTTGTTTATTTTTTTTTTGGAGATGGAGTCTTGCTCTATCACTCAGGCTGGAGTGCAGTGACGCAATCTCGGCTCACTGCAACCTCCGCCTCTCAGGTTCAAGCGATTCTCATGTCTCAGCCTCCCAAGTAGCTGGGATTACAGGCACCTGCCACCACGCCTAATTTTTGCATTTTTAGTAGGGACCGGGTTTTGCCATGTTGGCCAGGCTGGTCTCGAACTCCTGGCCTCAAGTGATCTGCCAATCTCAGCCTCCCAAAGTGCTGAGATTACAGGTGTCAGCCACTGCGCCTGGCTAAGACCCTGTCTTTCTTTTTCTTTCTCTTTTTTTTTGAGATGGAGTCTCACTCTGTGGCCCAGGCTGGAGCGCAGTGGCGCGATCTCGGCTCACTGCAAGCTCCGCCTCCCAGGTTCACGCCATTCTCTCGCCTCAGCCTCCCGAGCAGCTGGAACTACAGGCGCCCGCCACCACACCCCGCTAAATTTTTTTTGTATTTTTTAGTAGAGACAGGGTTTTTCTCCATGCTAGCCAGGATGGTCTCGATCTCCTGACCTCGTGATCCGCCCACCTCGGCCTCCCAAAGTACTGGGATTACAGGCGTGAGCCACCACGCCCGGCCAAGACCCTTTCTTAAAAAAAAAAAAAAAAATACACACACACACACACAGTAGTTGCTTCATGATGGGTGTATGTTTGGAGAAATTCGTCATTAGATGATTTTGTCATGCACAAACATCCCAGCGTACACACGCCTAGATGGTAGAACGTACTGCACACCAGGCTTCATGGTACTGTCTACTGCTCCCAGGCTATAAACCTGCAGAGCATGTGACTGTACAGAATACTGTGGGCAACTGTAACATGATGACAAATATTTGTCTCTAAACATCCACAAACAGAAAAGGTACAATAAAAATATGGTATAAAATCTTATGGGAGCCGGGTGCGGTGGCTCACACTTGTATTCCCAGCACTTTGGGAGGCCGAGGCGGGCAGATCACTTAAGGTCAGGAGTTTGAGACCAGCCTGGCCAACTTGATGAAACCCCATCTCTACTACAAATACAAAAGAATTAGGCGGATGTGGTGGCGGGAGCCTGTAATCCCAGCTACTCGGGAGGCTGAGGCAGAGAATTGCTTGAACCCAGGAGGTGGAGGTTGCAGTGAGCCGAGATCTCCCCACTGCACTCCAACCTGAGTGACAGAGTGAAACTCCATCTCAGAAAAAAAAAACAAAAACAGGCCGGGCGCAGTGGCTCATGCCTGTAATCCCAGCACTTTGGGAGGCCGAGGCGGGCGGATCACGAGGTCAGGAGATTGAGACCATCCTGGCTAACACGGTGAAACCCGGTCTCTACTAAAAATACAAAAAAATTAGCCGGGCGTGGCAGTGGGCGCCTGTAGTCCCAGCTACTCAGGAGGCTGAGGCAGGAGAATGGCGTCAACCTGGGAGGCGGAGCTTGCAGTGAGCCACTGCACTCCAGCCTGGGTGACAATGTGAGAGAGCAAGACTCTGTCTCAAAAAACCAAACTAAACAAAAAAAAAGAAAAGAAAAAAAAAGAAACAAAAACAAAAACAAAAAACAACAAATTAGCTGAGTGTGGTGGTGGGCACCTGTAATCCCAGATACTCGGGAGGCTGAGGCTGGAGAATCGCTTGAACCCCTAGGCGGCAGAGACTCAGTGTCAAAAAAAAAAAAAAAAAAAAAAAGTCTCATGGGACTCCCTTCACATATGTGGTCCGTCAGTGACCGAAATGCTGTTATACTGCACATGACTGTTTGCTGAATGAACTCTGAGTCTTGCCCCCGGGTCTGGAGGGCTTCTCTTCCCGTGCCTTCCCGCACTCCACTGCAGCCATCATCTCATGTGGGGAGAGTGAGAAGGACCCTGATCCCCCTCCGAGAGCCTATACCACCCAGGCAGCAAAGCAGGGCCAGGCAGGGTGCACAGCCACCCGCAAGTGGTTCTCAGGCCCCACCTCTGGACCTCCTACCCTTTGCAGACCTGGAGATTCATTCATTTGTTTATCCATTCATTCATTCCACACATAGTTCTGGAGCCCTGCTGCGTTCCTCGGCTGGGTGCCGGGGTGTAGGCAGAGGATATAACAGCCAGGATACGTCCCAGTCCTCAAGGAGGTGCACATAAATAACACACGTGATGGTGACGTGGGACTTAGAAACTGGCAGGGGCTACGGGCAAAACTAGAAGGCAAATGAGTGTGGAGTGCTGGTGGCCTGGGGACGGGGGATGAGGAGGTGGCTTGTGAACTGAGAATTGAAGGAGGTGAGGGGTGAGCTTGGGGACATCTAGGGGACAGGCATTGCAGGCAGAGGGTATGGACTATGCAAAGGCCCTAGGGCAGGACTGTGCCAGGGGTGTTGGAGGAAGAGTGAGGAGGCTGGTGGGGCTGGAGCAGTGAAGAGGGGAGGGGAGGAGAGGGAGGGGAGGGAGAGGAGGGGTCGGGACACACAGGGCATAGTGGGCTGTAGAGAGGATTTGGGCTTTTCCCCCAAGTGGGGTGGGAGCCATGGAGGACTGTGGGCAGGGGAGGGGCGGGACCTGACTTAGGGGCTCACAGGCGCCTTCTGGCTCAGGGGGTAGCCGGGTGACCAGGGCAGAGGGGACTACGCTTGTCGTGATGATGGAATCAGACTAGAGGCAGATCTGGGACAGATTCTGAAGGCAAAGGGGCTCGAGATGCGGGGAGGGCGGGAGCAGCTCTTCAGTCCCAGGAGGGGCACACATCAGCCCCGTGGGGTCTTCTCAGCTGTGTCCCACCCCAATCATGTCAAACACATTTATAGGAGCCCACAGCCCACACTCAACACAAGTTTAAAGGAGTACAGTTGTGCTCAAGTTGGCAGCGAAAACACCTTCCTTTCTCAGTGAGGTATTTTCTTTTTTTTTTTTTTTTGAGACGGAGTCTCACTCTGTCGCCCAAGCTGGAGTGCAGTGGCGTGATCTTGGCTCACTGCAAGCTCCGCCTCCCGGGTTCACGCCATTCTCGTGCCTCAGCCTCCCGAGTAGCTGGGACTACAGACGCCCACCACCATGCCAGACTGTTTTTGTATTCTTAGTAGAGACAGGGTTTCACCGTGTTAGTCAGGATGGTCTCAATCTCCTGACCTTGTGATCCGCCCGCCTCGGCCTCCCAAAGTGCTGGGATTACAGGCGTGAGCCACCGCGCCCAGCCCTTAGTGGGGTGTTTTCGCTCCAATCTCCAAGACCACTAAGAAAGTCTTAAAGGAACAAATTGCCATTTTCCAAACAATAGCTATTCTTAGGAGAAGTAACACTTCTTTTAGCTACTGCCAGGCCCTGGGAAGTCACCTCCCGGGCCTCAGTTTCCTCATCTGTAAAACAGGACTAATGCCTAACAGAGCTCACGCACGGCTGCGCAGACTAAAATGAGCCAAAAATAATAATAACAACTGCACCTGCCTGGCAGGTGGGAAAAGCTTGATGTTCCCCACCCCCACCCCCCCTTTTTTTTGTCTTGTGAATGTTTTCTTGGCTCACCCAAGAGCTTAGAGACCCCCGGCGGCGGGGCCTGGGTCAACGCCAGCCCAGGCCAGCGTTATTTATTTATTTATTTTTGATACAAAGTCTCGCTCACTGTCTCCCAGGCTGGAGTACAGTGACATGATCTCGGCTCACTGCAACCTCCACCTCCCAGGTTCAAGGGATTCTCATGCCTCAGCCTCCCAAGTAGCTGGGATTACAGGTGCCTGCCACCACACCTGGCTTATTTTTGTATAGTAGAGACAGGGTTTCACTGTGTTGGCCAGGGTGGTCTGAAACTCCTGACCTCAAGTGATCCCCCAGCCTCGGCCTCCCAAAGTACTGGGATTACAGGCCTGAGCCACGGCGCAGGGCCAGGCCGGTGTTCTTGGAGCCTTGTCTCTGCTGGGGATGTGTCTCCAGGGATGGATTCTCGGGAAGCAAGTGTGTGCCCTGCAGCCCCCAGGCACCTCTCCTGGACCAGGAGGCCCCTGATCGCCCACTGCTCTCCCTCACAGCAGGCCTCTGCTGTTGCTGTGTGCTCTGCCTGGACCACCCTCCCGCTGGGTACACATGGAAAAGCCTCTTCATCCTTGGGCCCTCTCTGCTGTGCCGCCTCCTCCTCTAGGAAGCCCTCCTAGCTCCCCAGGGAGGCTCTGCCCCTCCTCAGTTCCAGCCCTGACTGCCTGGGGCTGGGAAGGGCTCCATGAAGTTCAAGGTAAACTCAGGAAGGGTCCCCCACAGCCCCTCAGGGAGCCTGCTGGGACCGATGTTCCAGACGGGGGCCCTCTTGTGTGTGGGGTGGGAGTGACGTCAGCCCTCCACAACCTAGTAAATGTTTATGGGCCGGGGGGCCTCGGCTTTGGGGTTCCCTGGAGCCCAGCAAGAGACCACCCCCTCGTGTTCCATTCTGGGGGGCCCGTCCTGCAGGCGAGGTGGGGGCGCCTGGCAGGCCTGCGCCAACCCTGGCGGCTAGCCCGGAATGGGCTGGGTGGGCGGCGAGCACAGCTCCTGGTCTGAGCCGTCGGCTCCCTTGAACACAGGGAGGCACCTGGGGCTGGGAGGTGCGAAGGGGCTTGCGGCCTTTAAATTTCAAGCTCCACTACCCAGGGTGGGCCTCAGCGCGTGCATCCGTGGAAGAGGGCTAAGAGATCTGGTACAGGGTTTGGGCCGCACACGGGCCTGGAGGGCTGGGGAAGGGCTTGCAGGGGGCGGAGGCCTGCGTGGAACCAGTCCCAGAAGCGGCCATGGTGCAGGGCTGAGGGTGACCGTCGTGGGGACGTGGACTAGTCTTTTCTCCTGTCCAGCCTTCGGTGTCCTTGGCTGGAGGTTTGGGGCTGTATTGCCCATTCCTAGAAGCCATCACTTCCCGGCTGCTGTGGGCAGGATGCATGAGAAGGAAGGGGGATGAGGGACAGACAAGGCCTGGAGTGCGGAGGAAGGGATGGAATCTGACGCCTGTGGTCACCGCGGGGCTGGGGGCCTGGGGATGACCGCCCGGGTCCACACTGCCCAGCAGGCCGTGCTGTGGTGGGCGCTGCCCCCTGCCGGCCGCAGTAGAGACAGAGGCCGGTGCCCTTGAGTGGATGCGATGCCCGTGAGTGGATGGGATGCCTGCAGGGAGGTGGAATCGTCTTTCTTTGTGGGGCATCTCTGAGGGGCCCTTATTCCCATTTACCAGGTGGGAAAGCTGAGGCCTGGGTGCTGCCGTCCTCTGAGGACAGAACAAGGAAAGAATCAAGTTCTGGGGTTCGAACCCAGAGTGTTTAACAATGACTCTATTAGGGCTTGGACAGGTGTCAGGGCCCCTGCCCCTCTGGGTGCGGGGTGGGTGTGTCCGCCCTTTCTCAGGGAGCCCGAGGCCCGGGCACCCAGCTCCGGAAGTGGACGTGACCCTGAGCTGTTGCATGCCCCCCTTGTGCTGGAACACGCGTGGACATCTGTGCTCTCTCCAGAGAGGACTTCGAGGCAGGCGCTGGAAGAAGGGACCCAGAATCTCTGTACACAGTGGCTCATGCCTATAATCCCAGCACTCTGGGAGGCTGAGGTGTGAGGACTGCTCGAGGCCAGGAGTTTGAGACCAGCCTGCACAACACAGTGAGATCCTGTCTCTACAAAAAATAAAAATAAAAACAATTAGCTGGCTGTAGTGGTGCACACCTGCAGTCCCAGCTACCAGGGAGGCTGAGATGAGAGAGTCGCATAAGCCAGGAAGGTCAAGGTTCCAGTGAGCCATGATCCTGCCACTGCCCTCCAGCTTGAGAGACAGAGCAAGACTATGTCTCAAAAAGACGAATTTTTGGTAGAGACAGGGTCTCACTGCGTTGCCCAGGCTGGTTCCAAGCTCCTGGCCTCAAGCAATCCTCCCACCTCAACCTCCAAAAGTGCTGAGATTACAGGCTCAAACCACCAGGCCCAGCCTACAACATTTTTTAAAAAAATTAACCAGGCATAGTGGCGGTGGCCATAGTCCTGGCTACTCGGGAGGCTGAGGTGGGAGGATTGCTTGGGCCCGGGAGTTCCAGGCTGAGTTACTACTCGGGGGTGGACAGAGAAGGATATGAGGCTGAAAGTGAAGTTTGGCTTTTCACATCTAGGCCCCGCGGATGGGCTTGAGAAAAGGGAAGAGATGGGGCCGGATACGGGTCAGGAGGGCCATAGCCAGCCCTGCCGGTTCCTGCTGTCCCCGGCCCACCAGCAGGGCCCAGATCCATCCCAGCCAGGGCTGTGCACAGCTCCGCTCCCCTGGGTGGAGCCTGGAGCGCCCTAATTTGCAGCCCACCGCAGCATGTGGGAGCTTGCAGGCTTCCTCTCCAGCTGCCAGGGAGCATGAGCCAGTTCTGGAGAAGGGGCCCGGGGTGGTGCCAGCATTCCAGGGCCACCTAAATCACTGGCCTGACAGGTGGCAGGAAGGGATCGCAATTCTTTCCCTTGTCGCTGCCACCAGCCAGGTGCTGAGGGGGGTCCTGTCCCGCTCTGCCCTAGCCCCAGGGGCTGCGAGTGACCTGCCGGATGGGGACGGCTGCTGGACCAGCCTGTCCGGGGCTCTCCGCTCCAGTGCCCAGGAATTTGGAGACAGGGCCTGGGCGTGTTTTCCACATGTTGTTGGCTTTGGGGACAGGCCCAGAGAAAGGATGGCTCAAGATCTGCAGGGGGGTTGTGACCAGAGCCCACAGCGCTGAGGGAAGGGCTGTGGGCGGCAGGGCCCATTTTCCACTTGCTGGCAGGTCACTGGCACGCTCCTGCCCTGCCCTGGGAACTGGGGGAAGCAGAGGCTGGGGCGCATCCCAGCCGTCTCCCCTCCTGGGCTCCCGATGGCCCCAGCCTGATGCACTACCAGTTCTGTGGGGCCAGGCTGGTACCCTTGGCAGGGACGGCAGGCGGCAGGCAGGCGCGTGTGCAGGGGGCCTTATCTTATCTCCCTTCCTCACTCCCTCCCAGATCCGCCCTCACCGGCTGCTGTGTCGCCGTCATCAAGCCCTCCGGACACTGACACACACACAGACACAGAATTTATTTCTGGACGCATTCTGCAGGCTGGAGGTCCCGGCAGGCACAGGGCTCACACCTTGGGTTTTGCAAACACCTCCCAGCCCTCCAGCCGGCCCATCTTGACCAGGGAGGCCGCTATGCCAAAGTACACGCAGGCGGCGGCGCCAATCCCGTAGTTGTGCGCTGTGGGAGTGGGGAGGTGATGTCAGGCCCGGGTGGGGCTCGGCCGGACCAAGACGCTCCACGCCCTGGCCGGTGCCCACCCTGGGAGCCAGACTGAGACCCCTGACAGGACACTCTCTTCAGGGATTAAGTCACTCAGGAAGAGGGCCCTAGACTCTGGAGATGTGGAAACTGATGCACAGAGGGAGGCCGGAGTCCAGGTTGCTTCCCAGCAGGAACCCAGGCTGTGGGTCCTCATCCCGCCCCACACTGACTTCCCCCTGCGAGGACACCGTGCTGCCCCCAGCTGGGGCTGGGGCAAGGCTGGGCACCGGGCCATGGTGACACATCGGTGTGTCTCAGTCTCTCCTTTGCCCATGGATGCCAGGGCCAGGCCACGCATCTGTCCCGTGGTCTGTGTACCGAGGAGCCCCGACAGTGCCCCCACTTCTCCAGGCTCTCCTGCTCCGAAGCCTCCGGGCCAGAGGAGGAAGGAGGTGTGTCCCCACACACCAGGACCTAAAGGGACTCACACTCTTTGAAGAGAGACAGGGAGGCTGGCTTGGGGACAGGGAGCAGTTCCAGCCTGAGCTGGGCTACAGTCAAGACCTCAACCCACCTGCAACCTCTGACCAGTTCCAGTGGGAGCTGGGGAGGGACAAGGCCTCCCCAAGGTCTTGACGCAGAGACAGCAGTGACGGCGTAGGCCCTGCCCTCGCACCCTCCCTCTCTGCCTGCCTGGAACCTGCCATTCATCACTCCCAACATGCCAGGCCAGAGCGGCTGAGCTGCAAGAGGGCTCGTTCACTCCTCCCACTGGCCCTGAGGGCCCGAGCCTTGGCGGGCTGGGGGTAGGCCAGGGGCACAGGCGGGCACTGACGCTGAGCCCGGGCCCATGGGAGGGCAGGAGTGATGTCTGGCTCATGCTCCAGACGGGCTCCCCTGTGCCAAGCGTGGCCTTCTCCACCAGGGCTGCACCCTCTGATGGCTGCAAAGAAGGCCACTTGCTCCTCCAGGTGACCTCGGGCCACTTAATTCCCTCCCTGAGCCCTAATACCCTTTTCTGTAAAGTGAAGGTTGCGGGGGCAGCTCCCCTGCAGGGCTCCAGGTGCAGGGAGAGAGATGGCAGGGCGAGACTCCATCCATCCTCCTCTCTGACTCACAGGCCAGTGGCAGAGACAGGGGGTGACCTTGGTGACCTGTGTCCTCTGACAAGGCACACAGAAGGAAGGCGGCACAGAGCGAGGGCGGCGGGGATGCTGGCTTGTACACAGGGTGGTCAGGACAGTGAGGGGAACAGCATTCCACGCAGTGCACTGCCCATGCAAAGGCCCTGGGGCAGGACTGTACCTGGCATGTGGGAGGAGCAGTGAGGAGGCCCGTGTGGCTGGAGCAGAGTGAGGAGGGGAGGGTGGGGAGGGGACAGGGCAGGTCAGGGAGGGCCACAGTAGGTGCTTAAGCAGCAGCAGCAGCTGTCGCTATGACTGAAATGGCTGGTGTTCAAGAAGGCTGCTTTACTTCTTGTCCGGGATGGAACAGAGAGGGTGGAGGATGAGCAGAGGTCAGGGGTCATTCTGCCAGGCTGGGAGGAGGGTGGGGGTGGGGAGGGGGCCACTCACTGCGTGCTCCCAGAGTCAGGCCTCCGGCGCAGCCACCGAGGAAGTAGTTCAGGGGGTCGTCGGGCTTCTCGCGGACATGGGCGCTGATGCAGGTGGTGAGGCCAAACACGGCCCCGACAGCAGCTGCGGGGTAGACGGGAAGAGCAAGGGCCTCGAGACGGGCACAGCAGGAGCCTCTTGGGCGCTCACTGCCAGTGTCTGGATGGAGAGAGATGCCACGAGTCGGCTGCTCGCTGTGCATGGCAGCCTCCTGGCCCCAGTCCTGGAGCTGTTCTCCTGGGCCTCCCCACCCTACATGTATTCCTGATAAAGGAACACCCCACTTTCTCCGGATGGCCAGCACTGTGGACACGGGCTGGGGAGTCAGAGAGAAGAGGCAGCCGTCAAATGTGCTCTGAGAGCTGGGGCTGTGCCAGGAGAGGGCCCAGCCATGCCCAGCCCAGCGTGCTCACCTGCAGTGAACGTGTATTGTCCAACCTTAGCCACTCCTTCAAGGAAGGTGCCCGGAGGATTGAGTGTGACTCTGTAGGCAGCGGCGGTCAGGCCTGCGAGACAGAGGAGGGAGGCTGTTCAGACCCCACTGCTGCTAAGCCCTTGCTTGGCCGGGCACCCCACTGGGTGGTCTCCCTCCCTCAGTCCTCACGATGCCCCCCTTCTTTGCCCATAGTGTCCCCGGCTGCTGAGTGGCAGAGCTGGATTTGAACTCGGGTTTGCTGCTCCAAAACTGGGGGGCCTCTCACTTCCTTCCCCACTCCCCGCCAGGCCTTCCTTGGCCACTTTCTCAAGCCTGACCAGTACTGGCTCCTGCAGAGCACCTGCTGGGCGCCCATCAGCCATGCTGGCCCTGGCAGGGCACCGGCCGGCAGACGGAGACTCATCCACGTGGTGGACACAAGAACAGGCCTGAGACCTCAGTTCTGCGGCTGCTTCCAGCCTCACACCGCCAGCTCAGCGGCGCCCCCCACGGGCCCTGGCACCAGGGCCCCAGCTCCAGGTTCCCATCAATGGCTCTATTCTCCTGTGGGGCCCGGGGCTCCTGGGCCTAATCCCCCTTGGCAGTGGCTCTGCTTCCCTGCCTGGCTGCCAACGCCTCCTCCTTGCCACTCTCGACCCCCTCCTGCTGGCAGCTCGGGCCTGGGCTCGTCCCGCACACCTGGCTGTCTGGCTGCCGCCCCCGCCACCCAGCCTCGCCACTCCGGTCAGCTTTTCCATCTCTGCCATTTCCCAGGCCGCCTGGCCCCTGACATTGGCTTCTATGCATGAGGAGCTTGGGCCGGGGCCGGGCCCAGAACTCAGGGCCAGGTAGGTGGTGGGGACGGAGGTTTGATCCCAGCCCACCGTCCCTGCTGGGTGCCTAGGGGCGTCCTGAGTGAGGCTGGGCAGGCCCTTGGGCCACGTCCTCCCAGAGCCCGCCCAGCTTCACCAGCCCCTCTATGGTGGATGGGCAGATTGAGCCAGCCCGAGCCGGGGCTCCCCAATCCTCTGCCTGACTGCTCAGGGCAAACAAGCACCCCCCTCTCCCTACAGCCTCGAAACATAGCCCAGTTGCAGGCAGGGACCTCCTCGGGCCAGCCCATCCCAGAGAAAACAGAACTGCCAGGGATGGGCCACAAGGGCCCTCATCCTTCTCGGGGCCCGATGGGCTCAGTCCCGTTATCCCCTCCTTCACGGGAGGTGAAGGGACCTCCGAGATGTAAAGCAATTCTCCAGAGGTCACCCAGCACAGCGAGCCTGGACGCCAGGCAGGTCTGACCACAGCCTATGCTTCACCCACCACGACTGCCCCAGGGGAGTGGGCTCCACCCCAGTTCCCCATCCAGCTTCAAGGGACCCATGGGACATGCCAGGCCTGGCAGTGACCCCCCCCAACAGCACCCTAGCCTCAGATCCAATTCAGCTCATGTTGGTTCTGTCCCTCAAGAGCGACTGAGGGGACTCTCACATCCAGCAGTGGGGTGAGCACATATTCAGAGCAGCCCATAGGAGGGACCATCTGCTCCCCACAAGCACAGATGGGGAAACTGAGACCCAGGATGCAGAGAAAGGGACCACATATAAAGAGTACCTTGTGGATCTGGTTTCTCCTAATCCTACACCAACCCCTGGGATTCCTGCTCGACCTCAGAAAGGTGGATGGAGGACCAGGCGCGGTGGCTCACGCCTGTAATCTCAGCACTTTAAGAGGCCAAGGTGGGCGGATCATTTGAGGTTAGGAGTTTGAGACCAGCCTGACCGACATGGTGAAATCCCTTCTCTACTAAAAATACAAAAATTAGCCAGGCATGGTGGTACACATCTGTAGTCCCAGCTACTTGGGAGGCTGAGTCAGGAGAACCACTTGAACCCAGGAAGCGGAGGCTGCAGTGAGCCAAGATTGCGCCACTGCACTCCAGCCTGGGGGACAGAGTGAGACTCCGTCTCAAAATAAAAAAAAAAAAAAAAAAGAAAGAAAGGTGGATGGAGCGGAGTGCCAGGTCTGGGGGCTGTGGCAGGAAAGGGGGTTGCTACTGCATCCACGGTAAGGGACTGGAGTCCAGTACAGCCGTCCCCCCAGGACTCCCCACCTGCTCCTGGCCCAGCAGCCCCATCCTCAGTCACACTTCAGTCAGTGCACACACACACACACACACATCCCCCCCTTCCAAATTCTTTTATGTATTTACTAATTGAAAGAGAGCTGGAGTCTATGAAGATTCTTTTTTTTTTTTTTTTCTTGAGATAGAGTCTCGCTCTGTCGCCCAGGCTGGAGTGCAGTGGCGCTATCTCGGCTCACTGCAAGCCCCGCCTCCTGGGTTCACACCATTCTCCTGCCTCAGCCTCCCGAGTAGCTGGGACTACAGGCGCCCGCCACCACGCCTGGCTAATTTTTTGTATTTTTAGTAGAGACGGGGTTTCACCGTGTTAGCCAGGATGGTCTCCATCTCCTGACCTCGTGATCCGCCCGCCTCGGCCTCCCAAAAGTGCTGAGATTACAGGCGTGAGCCACCGCGCCCGGACTCTTTTTTTTTTTTTTTTTTTTTTTGAGACAGTCTTGCTCTGTTGCCCAGGCTAGAGTGCAGTGGTGCAAACTTGGCTCACTGCAACCTCTGCCTCCTTGGTTCAATTTTCCCACCTCAGCCTCCTGAGTAGCTGGGATTACAGGCGCCTGCCACCATGCCCAGCTAATTATTATTATTATTATTTTTTGTATTTTTAGTAGAGACGGGGTTTTACCATGTTGGCCAGGCTGGTCTCAAACTCCTGACCTTAGGTGATCCACCCACCTCAGCCTCCCAAAGTGCTGGGATTAAAGGCCTGAGCAACCATGCCCGGACTTGAAGATTCTTAATGGGAGGGGACTGCCAGCCCTGCCTGGGACCTGAAAAGTCCTGATCCAGGGCTGGGCCAGCCATGACAGTCTTATAACCCTCTCATCTCAAGAGGGAACCACCGACAAGACTCAGTGACGCCCCCAGAACTGTCACCGAGGGACTCCTGGGCGGAACCTCCTTACACCACCCCCACATGCCAGCTGTCCTGACCAAGGGACCCCTAGCTCATGGAGCACACCTGACACGGTGAGTGCGCCCACCATCCTCCATCCCTTCCAAAGTCCTTGAACTGGGAGTGGACGAGCTGGGACCCCCTGATTATCCCATAGAGGTCAAGGACTGCCCCACCCCAACTCTGCCCCAGCTGTCATCCAGCTGTGGTGTCCTGCCATATCCACCCCTCCAGGAGCCCCCAGCGCCCTTCAAAAGGCCCCCTTCCCTCTGAAGGGAAACTGCTGGTTTCCTCTGAGCCTCCCACAGTGACCGCCAGACCCAGTGTGAATTCATTCATTCATTCAGCTACTGCCACTCATTCATTCATTCACAAAGTTACCGAGTACCTAACAAGGTGCCACATTCACTCATTCATTCACTCACAAATGGTGCCCACAAGATGCTTCATTCATTCATTCATTCATTCATCCATAGTTATCATGTGCCCACAGGTCCTGGGCTCTGCTGAGTATAGTCTCCCCGCCGTCCAGGGTCCCCAACTCAGGGAAGCCAGCCAGGAAACAATTTATCTCCCTCAGATGAGAAGTGAGGGGAGCCCCGGAATGAAGTGAGTGGGGCAGTGAGGGGAGGACCCAGAAACACGTTTCAGCAAGTTCTGCACAATGAGTGGAGCTGGTCACTGAAGAATTTAGGGAGAAGGGTGGGTGCAGTGGCTCACGCCTGTAATCCCAGCACTTTGGGAGGCCAAGGCGGGCGGATCACCTGAGGTCAGGAGGTTGAGACCGGCCTGGCCAACATGGCGAAACCTTGTCTCTACTAAAAATACAAAAATTAGCCAGGCACGGTGGCAGGCACCTGTAATCCCAGCTACTTGGGAGGCTGAGACACAAGAATTGCTGGGAGGCAGAGGTTGCAGTAAGCCAAGATCGCACCACTGCACTCCAGCCTGGGTGACAGAATGAGACTCCGTCTCAAAAAAAAAAAAAAAAAGAAAAAAGAAAAAAGAAAAATTTAGGGAGAATGAATGTCACTCTCAAAGACCCCGGGGCACCCTTGGAGGGCTCACAGAAGCCACTGAGCACCCCTAAATCTAAATCTGATGCCATCAGCGATCTCCTGACATGGCAACTCTGTCAAAAGTTCTGACCTCCCCTTCTAAGACCCTCTGGGGAGCACCCCCGGTCTCAGAGGCCCTTCACTCAGCAGCACCACACCCCGAGACAAGCTGTCTCCTCCAAAGGCCTCCTGAGACCGCAGCCCACTCATTTTGTATTCACACATGAGGAATGCACACACTCTCTCACATGAACACCAACATACGCGTCTTTCTCAGTTTCAGATCCTATCCCCTGGGTGGCCCCCTTCAGCCCTTTCTCTTGAAGACCCTCGATAAGGACCTGATGGGAACATTCCTTGCTTCAGAGACCCCTAGGAGCAGGTCAGCCGACCTGGACTTGCAGCCCAGCTTCAAATGACCCTGGAGCAGTTAATATGCTTCTCCAACCTTCAGTCCCTACCTGTAAGAAATGGAGACACAATAACGTCTGTCTTACTATTAATAAATATGCAAAATATGGGAGTGATGATTAGGTCTGCCCTAATTCAAATGCCTCCCAATGGAGCCGCAACTTTGGCCGGGCCCTGTTTCACATATGCTGGAAATACAGAGTTGACCAAATTGATTCCTCAGCTTATAGACACACCAGGTTGTAAAGACTGTTTCTTTGGGTTTTTTTTTTTTTTTCTTTTTGAGACGGAGTCTTGCTCTGTCGCCCAGGCTGGAGTGCAGAGGCGCAATCTCGGCTCACTGCAAGCTCCGCCTCCCAGGTTCACGCCATTCTCCTTCCTCAGCCTCCTGAGTATCTGGGACTACAGGTGTCCACCACCACGCCCGGCTAATTTTTTTTGTATTTTTAGTAGAGACGGGTTTTCACCGTGTTAGCCAGGATGGTCTCGATCTCCTGACCTCGTGATCCACCTGCCTCGGCCTCCCAAAGTGCTGGGACTACAGGCGTGAGCCACCGCGCCCGGCTGGTTTTGTTTTGTTTTGTTTTTTGAGACAGCGTCTCACTCTGTCGCCCAGGCTGGAGTGCAGTGGCACAATCTCGGCTCACTGCAACCTCTGCCTCCTGGATTCACGCCATTCTCCTGCCTCAGCCTCCCAAGTAGCTGGGACTACAGGCACCCGCCATCATGCCTGGCTGATTTTTTGTATTTTTAGTAGAGACGGGGTTTCACCGTGTTAGCCAGGATGGTCTCAATCTCCTGACCTCATGATCCGCCTCCCAAAGTGCTGGGATTACAGGTGTGAGCCACCATGCCCGGCCTATTATTTTTATTTTTTGAGACAAGGTCTCGCTCTGTCGCCCAGGCTGGGGTGCAGTGGTGCAAACATAGCTCACTAGAGCCTTGAACTCCTGGTTTCAAGTGATCCTCTTGTCTCAGCCTCCTGAGTAGCTGGGACTACAGGTACGCACCATCATGCCCAGCTAATTGTTTTACTTTTTTGCAGAGATGGGGATCTTGCTATTTTGCCCAGGCTGGTCTGGAACTCCTGGCCTCAAGCGATCCTCCCACTTTGGCCTCCTGAGCGCCGGATTACAGGTGTGAGCCACCGCGCCTGGCCCAGTTTGTAAAGATTCTTCATCAGAGGGAAGAGGACTTCCAGCTCCATCTGGGACCTGATGAGTCCCAACCTGTGGCTGAGAATTAAAGGGCATGATGCCCATGAAACGCTCAGGCTGGAAGGGGCAAGACTCAGATTTACTCTATAAGAGAATGCCAGGGCCGGCCGGGCATGGTGGCTCACGCCTGTAATCCCAGCACTTTGGGAGCCCGAGATGGGCGGATGGCCTGAGACCAGGAGTTCCAGATCAGTCTGGCCAACACGGTGAAACCCCGTCTCTACTAAAAATACAAAATAATTAGCCAGGCGCGGTGGCGTGAGCCCGTAATCCCAGCTACTTGGGAGGCTGAGGCAAGGGAATTGCTCGAACCAGGGACGTGAAGGTTGCAGTGAGCCGAGATCTCGCCACTGCAGTCCAGCCCGGGCGACAGAGCAAGGCTCTGTCTCAAAAAAAAAAAAAAAAAAGGAGAATGCCAGGGCTTGCGGGTCCCCTTCATTCCCCTGCAAGGCTACCCTCATAGTAGCTCCTGATCCACCTCACCTAGGACCTCTCTGGCGGTCCCAGTAAAAGCTTCAGGTGTCCCTAACCACCCAGCACCCCCTGACCACAGAAAGACCTCATCCCACCCCAAAACTTTCTCAAACATCTGTACCGCCCTCAGATGCCCCAATCATGACTCATGATCCCCTCTAACAATCTCTACCCCGTTGGAAAGTCTCGTGGTCCCTTAGCTCCTTGGACCTGATAATAGCCCTGTCTCACTCCACAATTTCCCCGAGCCTGGCGATAGCTTGGGACCGCCTCAGATGACCCCAGGGACTAGCTTGTCGCATGTCACGACCTCCCAGTGCTCCCCAACCCTGCTGGACCCCCTACCAACATCCATTTCACACAAGATCCCCCCCTACGACCGCCCAAGACACCCCGATGACAACCACGTGCGTACCCGCGAGACTCCCAGACCCGTTCGATCCAAACAGCCCCCAGTAACCCCACGACCTCCCTGCGGCCTCGGCCCTCCACCCTCGGGGCCCGGCCGGCGCTCACCAGCGACGCTGGCAATACTGGTGGTGCTGTAGGCTTTGCGGTGGCAATCGGTGCCATCGGGGATATCCCAGTACTGACGAAAAACCTTCGGCGCCATAGCCCGCAATCTCGATCCCGCACCACGGACCCCGCCAGCTCGGGAAGCGCAAGGGCAGCCGCGGCTGGCTATCGCGAGACTTCTCGGGCTGCGCGCGCAACCTTTCGGGCTAGCGGGCCGGCAACAAGTGAGCAACTTTATTGATAGGCGCGGACATGGACATGGATCGCGCGCACGCGCCGGGGACCGGCCTGGAGGAAGAGAGTAGCACGTGCATCCCCAGGCCGATTCCTAGAGGGTGAAACTGAGGACGACTGCGATCAGTGCAGACAGATTTCGCTAGTCCCAGCTCAGGGAGTCCTAGGTTAGGGACTACTAGAGGCGGGGACTATCTACTAGGGGAGGGGCCGGGCTCAGACTGGGACGGGCGGGACTCCAGTTGATAGGAGCAAGACATGACGAAACAATGACTGGGGGGCGGGGCATGGCGGGGATGTGGCCACACCCAGTGTCAGAATCTGCATAGCGAGTGGTCATGCCCTGTGGTCAGTCACCAAGCTGGAGTCTGAGCAGCGTGCTACTGTTTTGGGCCGTGGACAGGATCAGGGGCGGGGATTATCGGGAAAGTGACCAATGACAATACGAGAAGCTCAGCGGGACGTGGCCTCTGTTCACCCCGCGGCTGTCCCACGCCCTAGGCCGGATGAAGTACACAGGCGCTTGACTTGGGGGCGTGGCTAGAATTGGAGGCATAACCTAAAAGGGACTTGACCAATCTGAGACTGTATAAGGGATGAAGGGGCGAGGCCGTGCCTGGATCTACCCCTGACAGGCCACAGGTTCGGGGGGCGTGGTCAGGCTTGCTGTTTCGCGGAGTCCGGGCCAATCCTGGTGTTAGCTTCCAAGTAGGGAGGGGACAGTATCGAAGGTGTGACCAATCTTGTTTCCAGAGCCTGAGTTGCGCGAGCCGCCAAAGGATGTGGCCAGCCTGGGGGCGTGGCTGTCAAGATCTTGTCCAATCCTAGAGTGAGCCCAAACTCAGGGGCGGAGTTTCATGATCCCGGAACCGGTGGTAGTGTTTGGGTTTGAGGAGAGCACGACCCAGCCCTCTGGGGTGGGGTCTAGCGGGGTCAGCGACCAATCGCGCCGAGGTCTAGTGGGGCGGGGCCCTCCCGGGGGCGGGGCCTGTGCCAGTTCCGGGCCGCCTGGGGGCGTGGCCGGGCCTGTACAGCAGCCTGGGCCATGTCGGCGCCGCCGGCCCTGCAGATCCGGGAGGCAAACGCACACCTGGCAGCCGTGCACCGGCGCGCAGCGGAGCTGGAGGCGCGGCTGGACGCGGCGGAGCGCACGGTGCACGCCCAAGCCGAGCGCCTGGCCCTCCACGACCAGCAGCTGCGCGCCGCCCTAGACGAACTGGGTCGCGCCAAGGACCGGTGAGGCCCGGGGCCGGCCAGGTGGACTTCACCGAGGCGGTAGGCGGAGGCAGAGCCGAGGCTGGAAAGCGAGGAAGGGCAGGGGGAACCGTGTGCACTTGTATAGACGCTAGACTGAGTATCGGATTGATAAAAACACCAAAAAACTCGAATTAGTAATCAGTATGTAAAGTTGCGAGAAGTGACACAGGTGTGGACCTCTAACTTCAAACAGGCCCACTTTCCCACAGGTGCTGAGCGACGCAGGGACCACAGACCGCCCAGCGTAGGCATTGGGAGCCATAGCAGGCTCTTCAGCAGGGGAGGAGGGGATCATATCAGCATTTTAACTTTTAAAATTTATTATTATTTTTTTGAGACGGAGTTTCGCTCTTGTCGCCTAGGCTGGAGTGCAGTGGCGTGATCTCAGCTCACTGCAACCTCCACCTCCCAGATTCAAGCGATTCTCCTGCCTCAGCCTCCCGTGTAGCTGGGATTACAGGCGCCCGCCACCACGCCCGGTCGATTTTTTGTATTTCTAGTAGAGACTGGTTTTCGTCACGTTGTGCAGGCTGGTCTCTAACTCCTGACCTCAGGTGATCCGCCCGCCTCAGCCTCCTAAAAGTGCTGGGATTACAGGGGTGAGCCACCGCACCCGGCCTAAATTTATTATTTTTGAGGCAGGGCCTCACTCCTATGCCCAGGCTGGAGTGCACCTCGACCTCCGGAGCTCAGGTGATTCTCCCACCTCAGTCTCCCAAGCAGCTGGGACTACAGGCGTCCACCACCACGCATGGCTTATTTTTTGTATTTTTTTGTAGAGACAGTTTTGCCCTGTTGCCCAGTTTGGTCTTGAACTCCTGGGCTCAAGCAGTCCTCCCACCTCACCCTTCCAAAGTGCTGGGATTACAGGCTAAGCCACCATGCCTATCTATTATTTTTGAGAGAGGGTCTTGCTCTGTTGCCCAGGCTGGAATGCAGTGGTGCGATCTCGACTCACTGCAGTCTCACCCTCCCTCCTCAGCCTCTCAAGTAGCTGGGATTACAGGCGTGCGACAGCACACCTGGCTGATTTAAAAAAAAAAATCCTTTAGAAATGGGGTCAGACTATGTTGCCTAGGCTGGCCTTGAACTCCTGGGCTCAAGTGATCCTCCTGCCTCAGCCTCCCGAAGTGCTGGGATTATAGGCACGAGCCACCATGCTGGCCCATATCAGCATTGTTGAAGAGTCCCTCTGACAGCTGAGGATGAAAGAGATGAGACAGGCACCCAGGGAGGTGGGAGGAGCTGGGTCCCAGGTGGGAACTATTACTTCAGAGCTAATTGGACATATTCATTTTTACCGAGCACCTGCTCTGTGCCAGGCACTCATTCATTCGTCTTCATTGAGCACCTACTGTGTGTCAGGCATTCTGCTGAGTACTGGAGCACATCAGTAAGACTTAGCCTTGCCCATTGGGTATCCACAGTCCAGTGGAGAGACAGACATGTCACTGGGCAGTTACATCATTGGTGGCCAGCGGCCATGATGGAGGGGCATATGGGGCTCTGAGGGATCTCAGAGTGAAGGCTTCCCAGAGGAAGAGCCTACTAAGAATAGGTGGGAAAAGATAATGGAAAGGAACGAACTGCAGGAAGAGTGAGGGGACGAAATGAGGGTTCTCATAAGAAAATGCCATAAACTGGCTGGGTGGTGGCTCACGCCTGTAATCCCAGCACTTTGGAAGGCTGAGGCAGGCAGATCACCTGAGGTCAGGAGTTCGAGACCAGCCTGGCCAACATGGCGAAACCCTGTCTCTACTAAAAATACAAAAAAATTAGCTGGGTGTGGTGGCACACGCCTGTAGTCCCAGCTACTCGGGAGGTTGAGGCACGAGAATCGCTTGAACCCAGGAGGCGGAAGTTGCAGTGAGCCGAAATTGTGCCACTGCACTCCAGCCTGGGCAACAGAGAGAGACTCTGTCTCAAACAAACAAAAAAACAAAATGCCATAAATTAAGTGGCTTAAACAAGAGGTTTGTTTCTCAGCGTTCTGGAGGCTGGACGTCCGAGAGCAGGGTGCCAGCATGGTCAGGTTATGGGAGGGCCCTCTTCCGGGCTTGCAGATTTCTGGCTTCTCTCTGTGTCCTCACAGGGCAGAGAGAGCCAGGGAGTTCTTTTGTATCTCTTCATATAAGCACACTAATCCCATCATAGAGACCCCCACCCTGACAACCTCATCTAACCCTAATCACCTCCAAAAAGCTCCATCTCTAAATACCCTTCTGCTATGGTTAGACTTTGTGTTTCCACCCAAATGTCAGCTTGAATTGTAATCCCATAATGCCCACGTGGTGTGGAAGGAACTGGTGGGAGGTAAATGAATCATGGGGGATGGTTTCCCCTTCATGCTATTCTCATGATAGTGAGTGAGTTCTCATGAGATCTGATGGCTGGGCGCAATGGCTCACGCCTATACTCTCAGCACTTTGGGAGGCCGAAGCGGTCAGATCACCTGAGGTCAAGAATTTGAGACCAGCCTGGCCAACATGGTGAAACCCTGTCTCTACTAAAAAAAAAAAAAAAAAAAAAAAAAATTAGCTGGGCATGGTGGCACACGCCTGCAGTCCCAGCTACTGGGGAGGCTGAGGAGGCAGAATTGCTTGAACTCGGGAGGCGGAGGTTGCAGTGAGCCGAGATCACACCACTGCACTCCAGCCTGGATGACAGAGCTAGATTCCGTCTCAATCAATAAGGGAGATCTGATGGTTTTATAAGGGATTCCCCCTTTGCTGGTCTCTCACTGTCTCTCCTGCTGCCCTATAAAGAGGTTCCTTCCATCATGATTGTAAGTTTCCCGAGGCCACCCCCAGCCATGTGGAAATGTGAGTCAATTACACCTCTTTATAAATCACCCAGTATCAGGTATGTCCTTAGAGCATCGTGAGAATGGACTAATACACCTCCCATTGGGGTTAGGACTTCATCATATGAATTTTGGGGAGACAGAAAGATGCAGTTCAGGCTGGGTACAGTGGCTCAGCCTGTAATCCCAGTACTTTGGGAGGCCAAGGCGGGTGGATCACTTGAGGTCAGGAGTTTAAGACCAGTCTGGCCAACATGGCAAAACCTTGTCTCTACTAAAAATACAAAAATCAGTCAGGCATGGTGGCGCATGCCTGTAAACCCAGCTACTCGGGAGGTTGAGGAGGACAGTTTGAACCTGGGAGGCAGAGGTTGCACTGAACTCCAGCCTGGGCAACAGAGCGAGACTGTCTCAGAAATTATAATAATAGGCTGGGCGTGGTGGCTCACGCCTGTAATCCCAGCACTTTGAGAGGCCATGGCGGGTGGATCACGTGGTCAGGAGTTCGAGACCAGCCTGGCCAGCATGGTGAAACCCCATCTCTACTGAAGATACAAAAAACTAGCCGGGCATAGTGGTGGGCACCTGTAATCCCAGCTACTAGGGAGGCTGAGGCAGGAGAATTGCTTGAACCCTGGAGCCGGAAGTTGCAGTGAGCTGAGATTGCACCATTGCACTCCAGCCTGGGCGACAGAGCTAGACTTCGTCTCAAAAAAAAATAATAATAAAATAAAATATAATAATAATAATAAAAACAAAGAAACATTCTGTTCATAACCAGGGAGGACCCTGAGGCAGTGGTGAGGAATGCGGGCTTTATCCCAAAGGTGATGGGGAACCTCTTGCGGGTCCAGAGCAGGGAGGAGCAGGTGCTGTGGTCCTCAGTTCTGTAATCACCTCCTCTTGCCTTCCTGCCAGTGAGATTGCCACACTCCAGGAGCAGCTGATGACCTCAGAAGCCACTGTCCACAGCCTGCAGGCCACCGTGCACCAGAGGGACGAGCTCATTAGGCAGTTGCAGCCCCGGGCTGAGCTGCTGCAGGACATCTGCCGCCGCCGGCCACCCCTGGCTGGGCTGCTGGATGCCCTGGCTGAGGCTGAGCGCCTGGGGCCCCTGCCGGCCAGTGACCCCGGCCACCCACCCCCCGGTGGGCCTGGTCCACCCCTTGACAACAGCACTGGGGAAGAGGCGGACAGGGACCACCTCCAGCCTGCAGTGTTTGGGACCACAGTGTGAGCCCGGAATGCAGATTACAGAATGGAGACAGAAAGCCACTGCTGTCAGTGTCCTTGGGAGTCACCAGCACCCTGCAGGGGGACCCTACGGCAGAGCCAAAGTCCTGTCTAAGCATCAGAACAGGCTGAACAGTCAAAAAGTTTTCAAATAGGCCCACAGGCCAGGTGCAGACGTTTAACCCAGACAGAAGTGTTCTTGTTTGTTTTTAAGCTTTGAATCAGTCACCCTTGCTAAAAACCTGGCAATGCAAACACAAAGATCTGGATTTCTGGCAAGACTTGGCCAAGCTTGCCTGGAGTTCAGGGCACCCTCTTTAGCCAGGGTGTGAGTTTCTGTTTTTTGTTTTTTTTTTTTTAAGACAGAGTCCCACTCTGTCGCCCTGGCTGGGGTGCAGTGGTGCGATTTTGGCTAACTGCAACCTCCGCCTCCCAGGTTCAAGCGATTCTCCTGTCTCATCCTTCAGAGTAGCTGGGATTACAGGCGCCCACCACCACACCCGGATATTTTATATTTTTGGTAGAGACCGGGGAGGGGAGGGGGTTTCACCATGTTGACCAGGCTGGTCTCAAACTCCTGACCTTAGGTGATCCACCCGCCTCGGCCTTCGAAAGTGCTGCAGTTATAGGTGTAAGCCACCGCGCCCGGCCCTAGCCTAGCTTTTGTAGCATGCAACTGTCTCCTTTTTATACGCCCTAAAGAATATATTTTTGAACTCCTTGTTTCTGCGCTGTCCTTCTTAGCCCAGGACATTCAGGGTGCTTTGCTTGTTGTCAAACCAGGGAAAGGAGAAAACTCCTGTGCCTTTCTGGGCCAGCCTGTCACCCTGGCCTGGTCGGCAGCCATTCCCCTACCTCCTCACTCAGGAACTGTCACACCAGGAACCGGCGAGGGGCACAGCCTGTTTCAGACCAGAAAGGTCGGAGGCCACCCACGGCCTTCAGGATGGCGCCCGCCTGCCTGCCTGGCAACAGTGACCCCTCAGTGCAGTAACAATGGGCCCATTTTCTCCTCTGGATGAACAAGGAGGGGGGTTGTTTGTACAAAGGAAAGGCAGGCTGGGGCCTGTCTGTGCTCAAGAATAAACCGGATGATTTCCTGGCCTGGGGGCAAGAGGGAGGCCCTCTGTGTTATTTGTGCCTCCTGGTAGGGTCCTGCTGGGCCAGGTAGAATCTAGGGAGTGTAGGCCAAGCACTCTCTACAGCGATTGCATCTAATCTTCGAGTTTCCCTGTAGACACAGGCTTTGTCCTCATTTTACAGCTGTGGAAAGTGAGGCCCAGGCCGGGCGCGGTGTCTCACGCCTGTAATCCCAGCACTTTGGGATGCGGGTGGATCACCTGAGGTCAGGAGTTCGAGACCACCCTGGCCAACATGGTGAAACCCCGTCTCTACTAAAAATACTAAAATTAGCCGGGCTTGGTGGCGGGTGCCTGTAATCCCAGCTACTGAACCCGGGAGGCGGAGGTTGCAGTGAGTGGAGATTGCACCACTGCACTCCAGCCTGGGAGACAGAGTGAGACTCAGTCTCAAAGAAAACAACAACAACAACAACAACAACAACAACAACAACAAACAGAGGCCCAGAGGTGTGAAGGGAACACACTCCGGGTCTGGAGGGCCAGGGCCACTTCCAATTCTGGGGGAAGTTATTGCTGAAATTCTGTTTTCTTTCTTTCTTTCTTTTTTTTTTAAAGAGACAAAGTCTCACTGTTGCCCAGGCTGGAGTGCAATGGTGTGATCACAACTCACTGCAGCCTCAAAATCCTGGTCTTGGCTGGGCCAGTGGCTCACACCTATAATCTCAGCACTTTGGGAGGCCAAGGCAGGTGGATCACCTGAGGCCAGGAGTTCAAGACCAGCCTGACCAACATGGTGAAACTCCGTCTCTACTAAAAACACAAAAATTAACCGGGTGTGGTGGCGCGTGCCTGTAATCCCAGATACTCGGGAGGTTGAGGCAGGAGAATCACTTGAACCCGGGAGATGGAGGCTGTAGTGAGCCGAGATTGTACCACTGCACTCCAGCTTGGGCGACAGAGGGAGACTCCGTCTCAAAAAAAAATCCTGGGATCAAGCTATCATGCTACCTCAGCCTGCCAAGTAGCTGGGACCATGGGCATATGCCACCATGCCTGGCTGCGTTTTTGCATTTTTTCTAGAGATAAGGTCTCATTACATTGCCCAGGCTGGTCTTGAACTCCTGGCCTCAAGTGATCCTCCCGCATTGGCCTCCCAAGAAATTCTTACTAAACATTTACAAATGAGATGCCAAAACAGCACTTCAGTAATAGTGGTTATATTTTATAGTTCTCTACACAGAAAAAAAAATGCTGCTTGTAACACTCATAGACATGAAAGTATTTCTCTGCCTATTTAAATAATTCTGGATTGCAGTGAGCCACCAGGATTTTGGCAGCCAGATGTCACCATGATTTCTCATAAAACTGATGATGTTACATCAGTGGTGGCCTGAATCAAGATGCTGGGATGCCTGTAACCTACAGATTGGTTTCAGACTCCAAAGGCAACTTTTTTTTTTTTTTTTTTTTGAGACGGAGTCTGGCTCTGCCACCCTGCCACCCAGGCTGAAGTACAGTGGTGTGATCTAGGCTCACTGCAACCTCTGCCTCCAGGGTTCAAGTGATTCTCCTGCCTTGGCCTCCTGAGTAGCTGGGATTACAGGCATGCACCACCATGCCCAGCTATTTATTTTTTTTAGTAGAGATGGGGTTTCAAAATGTTGGCCAGGCTGGTCTTGAACTCCTGACCTCAAGTGATCCGCCCACCTCAGCCTCCCAAAGTGCTGGGATTACAGCTGTGAGCCACCGCGCCCAGCCCTGGCCTCTTTTTTTAAGTTATTTATTTATTTTTGAGACAGAGTCTCACTCTGTCGCCCAGGCTGTGGTGCAGTGGCATGGTCTTGGTTCACTGCAACCTCTGCCTCCTGGGTTCAAGTGATTCTCCTGCCTCAGCCTCTGGAGTAGGTGGGATTACAGGCACCCGCCACCATACCTGGCTAATTTTCTTTTTTTTTTTTTGAGACAAAGTCTTGCTCTTGTCCCCCAGTCTGGAGTGCAATGGCACGATCTCGGCTCACTGCAACCTCCGCTTCCCAGGTTCATGCAATTCTCCTGCCTCAGCCTCCCGAGTAGCTGGGATTACAGGCACATACCACCACGCCCAGCTAGTTTTTCGTATTTTAAGTAGAGACAGGGTTTCACCATGTTGGCCAGGCTGGTCTCAAACTCCTGACCTCAGGTGATCTGTCTGCCTCGGCCTCCCAAAGTGCTGTGATTACAGGCATGAGCCACCGCACCCGGCTGACTAATTTTTGTATTTATAGTAGAGACAGGGTTTCACCATGTTGGCCAGGCTGGTCTCGAACTGCTGACCTCATGATCTGCCCGCCTCGGCCTCCCAAAGTGCTGGGATTACAGGCGTGAGCCACCGTGCCCGGCCAGTTTATTTACTTATTTTTAAGAGGCGGGCGTCTTGCTCTGTAACCCAGGCTGGAGTGCAGTGGTGCGATCATAGCTCACTGCAGCCTCCAACTCCCGGGCTCAAGTGATCCTCCTGCCTCAGCCTTCCAAGTAGGTGGGATTACAGGAACACACCACCATGCCTGGCTAATTTTTTGTAGTTTTTGTAGAGATGGGGGGGTCTCACTATGTTGCACAGGCGGGTCTCAAACTCCTGGGCTCAAGTGATCTTCCTGCCCTGGCTTCCCAAAGTGTTGGGATTACAGGCATGAGCCACCGCGCTCAGGCAAGGCAACTTCTGACAATATAATTGTGCTGTGAGCGAGGTAAAGCCAGGCTTGGAGAAGGCTCCGATTGATGATCCTTGGGTCGGGGCGAACAGTGGGTCCTCAAACAGGGCCCACGTTTCAAGTCCTGGAAAACCCACCTATCTTAGCGGGCAGGTATATCCGATGTCTCCGTTGAAGGCCTTCAGTGAGGTGGCTTCGTCTCTTGAGGTTTATGTCCAGGATCAGGGCTGCTCTTCCACTCGGGGTCACAACCTCTGGCTCACCACCTTGTCAGGAGCCAGCCCACTAAGTCACGTTTCAGGCCTGAAAACCAACAACAAAAGATCCGTAAAGACAGAAATCCTGGGACTGGCTCCTAACAACGGCCAGTGACAAGCTTTGTGGCAGTGAGCAGAGGTGTCCCTCAGGCTCAGCTCAGTCTCTGTGGGTTGCAGGACCTGCCCTTGGAGGTGGGCCTGGGTGGGAGGTCTTAGGGCCCCAGGACCTGGGCCACCTGGGGCTTTTTTTTTTTTTTTCTTTTTGAGATGGAGTCTTGCTCTGTCGCCCAGACTGGAGTGCAGTGGTGCAATCTTGGCTCACTGCAAGCTCCACCTCCTGGGTTCAAGCGATTCTCCTGCCTCAGCTTCCTAAGTAGCTCGGATTACAGGCGCCCACCATCATGCACGGCTAATTTTTGTATTTTTAGTAGAGGCGGGGTTTCACCATGTTGGTCAGGCTGGTCTCAAACTCCTCACCTTGTGATCTGCCCACCTCGGCCTCCCAAAGTGCTGGGATTACAGGCATGAGCCACCGCGCCCAGCCCACCTGGGGCATTTTTGTTGCTGTACAATAGAAACAAGTTCTCTATATGTTCCCCAGGCTGGTCCAAACTCCTGGGCTCAAGTGATCCTCCCACCTAGACCTCCCAAAGTGCTGGGATTTCAGGCATGAGCCGCAGTGGCCGGTCAGAACCTGGGGCCCTTTTGAACTTTGATTCCTCAGCAATTTTGTCAGCCCTGGCTCGGGCTGAGAAGCCCCTGTGAAGCCAGAGAGGGAAAGGGACCTGTCCAGGGTCACACAGGAATCATGCGTCAAGCCTCCCCAGCCACGGACTTGTCTCCATCCAGGGCATTTCAGCCCCTGCAGGGCAGTGGCCTGCCCCTCCTCCTTGGAGCCAGGAAGGGATGCAGTGCCACAGGGATCTGGCTCTGTCCCAGGCCCTGTGGGGCTGGCAGTTGAGTAAGCAGTCAGGCTGGGCGCACCCATCCCTCCCCCACTCCCCACTGCCCAGCACAGTGCATTCATGCAGCTGGGCCCCACCCCATCTCCAGAGGCACCTTCCACTAGCAACAGTCTCCCCAGGCACAACACAGCTAACACAAGGCCCCGCAGGCAGGACTCTGGGACAGACGCAGGCCAGGTGAGCATCTGAACAAGGGGCAGTCGGCCAGGGTGGGCTTGCGGGAGTCCCCACCTTGACCTCTCTCCCTTCCAGCTGCCCAGAGCCCAGACCAAGCATGGACGCCGTGGATGCCACCATGGAGAAACTCCGGGCACAGTGCCTGTCCCGCGGGGCCTCGGGCATCCAGGGCCTGGCCAGGTGAGCTGTCCCCTCTCACCTTCCTGACCCCGGCCCCTGAGACCACTGTTCCAACCGTGTCCCCTGCCTCCAGGTTTTTCCGCCAACTAGACCGGGACGGGAGCAGATCCCTGGACGCTGATGAGTTCCGGCAGGGTCTGGCCAAACTCGGGCTGGTGCTGGACCAGGCGGAGGCAGAGGGTGTGTGCAGGAAGTGGGACCGCAATGGCAGCGGGACGCTGGATCTGGAGGAGTTCCTTCGGGCGCTGCGGGTGAGCCCCCACCTCACAGTCAAGGCGTGTGCCCTGGGCATGGGGCGACAGAGGATGCTGAGATGCGGAGACGGGGACTCCTCCCTAAGAGCTGCTGTTAAGAGGCGCCTGCTGGGGCATACAGCCCCAGTGCTCTGCACAGCGTCTTGGGGGTTTGGGTGTGCTACCCACCACCCCCAGTCACCACCTCCTGTCCCAGCCCCCCATGTCCCAGGCCCGGGAGGCTGTCATCGCAGCTGCATTTGCCAAGCTGGACCGCAGTGGGGACGGCGTCGTGACGGTGGACGACCTCCGCGGGGTGTACAGTGGCCGTGCCCACCCCAAGGTGCGCAGTGGGGAGTGGACCGAGGACGAGGTGCTGCGCCGCTTCCTGGACAACTTCGACTCCTCTGAGAAGGACGGGCAGGTGGGTGGCTGCGCGGGGGGCCCCCTCCCCAGGCAGTTCCTCGGCCGTGCCCCCTCACGGCCCTCTGTTCCCAGGTCACACTGGCGGAATTCCAGGACTACTACAGCGGCGTGAGTGCCTCCATGAACACGGATGAGGAGTTCGTGGCCATGATGACCAGTGCCTGGCAGCTGTGAGCAGCTCCGGCTCAGCCCTGCTGCCCTGGCCTGTCACTCCCCACCCCTGCCGGAGACCTCCCTTCCCTGGGCCCCTTCTCTCCTGGGCAGCCACACCACAGAGCGGGGAGGGGCAGGTGGGGGAATGGAGGCTGCAGGACTGGCTAGACCAGGTCCCTGCCGGTCCACCAGGCGGAGGTGGGACAAAGGTCCTAACAGGAGTCACTGGCTCAGGACCCCAGGGAGAAACGCTCTCCCCACCCACGCCATGCTGACCAGAGATCTTGCAGCCCCTGTGGATGCCCCCGCCGAGGTCCCCCGATCCCCGCACCCGGACTGCT
>NW_025791808.1:0-137818 GCF_000001405.40 Homo sapiens
AACAGAATGAGACCCTGTCTCATAATAATAATAATAATAATAATAATAATAATTGCAGTGATTGAATGCCATGCCCAGTAGGTGCTATGGAGACAAGTACAGCCGGGAGGGAGGATGGAGTGAGGCGGGTGCCCTTTTGAATAGCGTGATCAGGGGACCCTCATGCAGAAGCATTTGGTCGAAGACTCGAGGAGGAGAAGGAGGGAGACATGGTGATACTGGGGGAAGAGCATTCGAGGTAGAGGGAACAGCCAGTGCAAAGGAATATTTGAGGAATAGCAAGGAGTGGACAGAGGTAGACGGAGAAAGGGAGGAGATGAGGTCAGAGTGGTCACAGGGGCAGGTCATGGGGGCCTCACGTAAGGTCTTTGTCACTAAATATATAAAGTGAATGATTCGGGTCACTCCCTTTACCCTGAGTGACATGGAGCCATGGGCAGATTCTGAGCAGGGGAGGGACATGACCTGCCTCAGGTGTTCACTTCTGGACATCAATGTCATGGGCTTAAAACAGTCACATGGCCAGATCCAACATCAAAGGGCACAGAAGTACACTCTGCCTTTGGCAAGTCCGTGGCGAGGGTATAGATGGAGGGAGGGGTGAAGAATTTGCATCAGTAACTGGATCTTCCCCAGGAGTCATCACTGTAGCAGTGGGGTTGGGTTTTAAACCATGAGAATAGACAACTGCATCACAGATAGATGCGGGAGAAGGCTGGGGCTGAGCCCTGGGGTAGTCCAGTGTTTTTGATTTTTTGTTTTTGTTTCTGTTTTTTTTTTAATTTTATTTTATATATATATTTTTGAGACAGGGTCTTGCTCTGTCGCCAGGCTGGAGTGCAGTGGTGTGACCTTGGCTCACTGCAACTTCCACCTTCTGGGTTCAAGTGATTCTCCTGCCTCAGCCTCCCAAGTAGCTGGGATTACAGGCGGGCACCAGGACGCCCAGCTAATTTTTGTATTTTTAGTAGAGATGGGGGTTTCACCATGTTAGCCAGGATGGTCTCGATCTCTTGACCTCGTGATCCGCCCGCCTTGGCCTCCCAAAGTGCTGGGATTACAGGCGTGAGCCACTGCACCCAGCCTGTTTCTGTTTTTGAGATGGAGTCCCAGTCTGTCACCCAAGCTGGAGTTCAGTAGCACGATCTTGGCTCACTGCAACCTCCACCTCCCAGGTTCAAGCAATTCTCCCTGTCTCAGCCTCCTGAGAGGCTGGGATTACAGGCACCTGCCACCATGTCCGACTCATTTTTGAATTTTTTAGTAGAGACTGGGTTTTGCCAGGTTGGCCAGGCTGGTCTTGAACTCCTGGCCTCAGGTGATCCACCCGCCTCGGCCTCCTAAAGTGCTGGGATTACAGGCTTGAGTCACCAGGCCTGGCCTTTGTTTTTGTTTGTTAACATAGGATCTTGTTCTGTCATCCAGGCTGGAGTGCAGTGGTGCCATATCATAGTTCACTGAAGCCTCCGCCTCCTGGGCTCAAGAGATCCTCCCACTTCAGCCTCCCAAAGTGCTGGGATTACAGGCGTGAGCCACCATGGCTGGCAGATGCCAGTGTTTAGAAATGAGGAGGGAGAGGAAGAATAAGCAAAAGAGACCGAGGAGGAGCAGACAGTGTCAGGAGGGGACCTAGACCATGGAAGGACGTGAAGAATGTGTCTCAGCAGCAGAGGGTCATCACCCATGTCACCACTGCTGACACATCAGGAAAGATGGAACTGAGAAGTTAGTTACTCCTGGATTCAGCAACATGGAGGTCATTGGTTGTCTTGACAAGAGCTGAATCTGCAGTGGTTGGGGCAAAAGCCTCATTGGAATGTGTGGAAAAGAGACACAGGGGAAGAGGAAGTAGAGACAAGAGGAAGTAGGAAGAGAAGAAGAGGATGGAGACAATGCTTGACAATTGTTGCTGAAAAGACAAGCAGAGGAATGGAGTAGAAGCTGGAGGGGTAGGGGTGGAGATAGAATTTCTTTTCTTTCTTTCTTTTCTTTCTTTTCTTTCTTTCTTTCTTTCTTTCTCTTTCTCTTTCTCTCCCTTCCTGCCTTCCTTCTTTGTTCCCTCTCTTCCTCCTTCCTTTCTCTCTTTTACTTCCTTCCTTACTTACTTTTCTTCTCCTTCTCCTTCTTCTAATTTCTTTCTTTCTTTCCTTTCTTCTTTCTCCTTCCTTCCTTCTTCCTTCCCTCCTTCCTTCCTCCCTTCCCTTCCCCTTCCTTCCTTCCTTCCTTTCCTTCCTTCCTCCCTTCCTCCCTCCCTCCTTTCTTTCCTTCCTTCCTTCCTTCCTTCTTTCTTTCTTTCTTTCTTTCTTTCTTTCTTTCTTTCTTTCTTTCTTTCTGTCTCTCTCTCTCTCTCTCTCTTTCTTTCTTTCTTTCATCTTGCTCTGTCACCTAGGCTGGAATGCACGATCATAGCTCACTGCAGCCTCCAAACTCCTGGGCTTCAGTGATCTTCCCACCGCAGCCTCCCAAAAGTGCTGGGATTACAAGCATGAGCCACTGTTCCTGTCCAGAATTTCATTAAATAAGGTGCAACTGATGATGCAAGAATGTGGGGAGAACTGTGGAGCATGTTCTTGAGAGAGAGGGTGGGACACAGAGGCCAAGTGGAGAAGTTGGGCTTGGAAAGGAGGTTGGGGATCATATCATATTGGAACAGGAGGATAGCAGAGTATCTAGGCCTAGACGCTGGGAAGTAAGTAGAGCTGCTGGTGGGAGCACAGGGGATTTCTCTTCTATGGCTTCTGTGTTTTCAGTGGAAGAAACAAAGCCATCCGTGAGCGTGGACATGTGGGAGGAAGAGTTGGAGGTTTAAGAAGAGAGGACACAGCTGAGAGCGGTTGCCCACGCCTGTAATCCCAGCACTTTGGGACACCAAGTTGGGCAGATCACTTAAGGTCAGGAGTTCGAGACCAGCCTGACCAACATGGTAAAACCCCGTCTCTACTAAAAATACAAACATTAGCCGAGTGTGGTGGCACACACCTGTAATCCCAGCTCCTCAGGAGGCTGAGGCCAGAGGATCGCTTGAGCCCAGGAGGCAGAGGTTGCAGTGAGCCAAGATTGCACCACTGCACTGCAGACTGGGGGACATAGTGAAATTCCATCTCAAAAAAAAAAAGCAAATCTGGCTAGATGGGCAAGGCAGGAAGATTGCTTGAGCTCAGGAGTTTGAGACCAGCCTGGGCAACATGGCGAGACCCCGTCTCTACTAAAAATAGAAAAAAATAGTCAGGTTTGGTGGCGTGCACCTGTGTTCCCAGCTACTTGGGAGGCTGAGGTGAGAGAATTGCATGAGCTCAGGAGGTGGAGGCTGTACTGAGCCAAGATCGTGCCTCTGCACTCCAGCCTGGGTGACAGAGTGAGACCCTGTCTCAAAAAATAAAATGAAATAAAATAAAATAAAATAAATAATAAAATAAAAAAATAAAAATAAGCACATTTATGATAAGTTAGAAGGTGATATATGCTATAAAAAAAGTAATACAGTACAAGATATCAGGAGCACTTGTGTGTAATTCCAAAAGTGCTGGAATTACAGGCATGAGCCACCGCGCCCGGCCCAAAAAAACTTTAAAAACGGGGGACACTGGGTGCGGTGGCTCACGCCTGTAATCCCAGCACTTTGGGAGGCCGAGGCAGGAGGATCACTTGAGGTCAGGAGTTCGAGACCAGCCTAACCACCGTGCTGAAACCCCGTCTCTACTAAAAATACAAAAATTAGCCAGGCGTAGTGGTGCACGCCTGTAATTTCAGCTACCTAGAGGCTGAGGCAAGAGAATCGCTTGAACCCAGGAGGTGGTTGCAGTGAGCCGAGATCGCACCACTGCACTCCAGTCTAGGCAACAGAGTGAGACTCTGTCTCATAAATAAATAAATAAATAATTTTAAAAAAGAAACTCTAGCCAGGCATGGTGGTTCATGCCTGTAATCCCAGCATTTTGGGAGACCAAGGTGAGGGAATCACTTGAGTCCAGGAGTTCAAGACCAGCCTGAGCAATGTAGTAAGAATCCATCTCTACAAAAAAAAAAAAAAAAATTAGCCACACATGGTTCCAGTTACTCAGGAGGCTGAGTGGGGGGCATCACTTGCCCCTGGGAGATTGAGGCTGTGGTGAGCTGTCATCACCCACTGCACTCCAGCCTGGGTGACAGAGCCAGACCCCATCTCAAATAAGTAAATAAACAAAAAACAAAACAAAACAAAACAAACAAAAACAGCTTGTAGAGATGAAACAAAGCACCCTGCTCTAGCAGACAGTGGAGTTCAGAACCACGGAGAGCAGCCCAGTGGTGCTGCCTTCCCGGCAACTGTACTAGCTCCTCTCATGGGGGTTTCCATTGGCCAATCCCTTCCTTAGATCATTGTTCTGAAGATGACAAGGAAACCTTTAGGATCAAAGTCTTTGCTGCTATTGGCTTGTCAGGTGGCCCAATTTGAATCTGAACTGGAGTTCGTTTGTATACACAATCATAAAACTAATTTGTCCTTTTTGACATCAGAATTGGAGATACATGAATGTAGGATGTATTAGACTGCCTTGTCATTCAAAGCAAGGAATTAATTCTTCCCTTACAAAGCAAGGAATTAATTTCTTGGGGAAAATTATAAATCTCTGACTTATTTACCTCAGGCTTGGCTATGTCACGTGTTTTTGCCAGTGAAATGGGAGAGGAAGTAAAGTGGTTTGTATCATTTCTTTTCTTTTTTTGAGATGGGGTCTCACTCTGTCACTCAGGCTGGAGTGCAGTGGCACAAGCATGGCTCACTGCAGTCTCAAACTCCTAGGCTCAAGCAATCCTCCTGCCTCAGCCATCCCCCTCCCCACCCAAGTAGCTGGGACTGCAGGTGTGAGCCACCAAACCCGGCTAATTTTTTGTATTTTTTTGTAGAGATGGGGTCTCACTATGTTGCCCAGGCTGGTCTCAATCTCCTGAGCTCCAGGAACCCTCCCACGTTGGCCTCCCAAAGTGCTGGGATTTCAGGAATGAGCCACTGTGCTCGACCAAGTGTGTATCATTTCTGAACAGAAACTCCGAGAGCCAGTGCATCGTCCACTACGGGCTCTACTGTAAGACCAGCAATAAGATGCTTAAGATGATTTTGGCTGCAAGTAACAGGGCAAGACCCTGTTTTTTAAAAAAGGAAAGAAACAAAGAAAAGGAAGGAAGTTTTGAAAATAGAGGAAAAGGGAGGGGCAATTTATGGAGGAATGAGACAGGAGGGGCCAGGGCCAGGCACCGGCCCAAGTTAGGAAGAAAGGGCACTCATCCCTCATGACAGGGAGCAGGGCAAGTGTGGGGCCAGGTAGGAGATGAGGAAGGTCCACCCAGCAGCTTCTGTGAAGTAGATGGCAAAGTAATGCATTTGGAGAGGGGCAGGGTGACAGGTAGTGGATATGAGGAAGCAGAGAAGGGTTGAAAAAGCCAGAGTGAAACTTTGAAGAGACAAGTGTTTGAAGAAGTGGTGTTGCCACAAGAGGGGGCAGTTGAAAGAGCCTGGTGCCCCCAGATGATTCATCCCTTCTCCGACCCCATGGACACCAAACACAAGAACGTTGACAGCTTCATACCGTGGCAGCTTTGGGGAATGGTGATGGCAGAGCAGGCCCATTGAGCCAGAGTTCTTCAACTTTGAGGGAAACTCATCTTTCCTTTTCATGGGTTTCATCAAGGATGATTTTGGCTGCAAGTAATAGAAAACCCTAACTCATTTGAGAGGCTGACGTAGGCAGATCACGAGGTCAGGAGTTCGAGACCATCCTGGCTAACATGGTGAAACCCCGTCTCTACGAAAAATACAAAAAAATTAGCCGGATGTAGTGGCAGGCGCCTGTAGTCCCAGCTACTCAGGAGGCTGAGGCAGAAGAATGGCATGAATCAAGAGGTGGAGCTTGCAATGAGCTGAGATCTCACCACTGTACTCCAGCTTGGGTGACAGAACGAGAGACTCTGTCTCAAAAAAAAAAAAAAAACCCTAACTCAACTGGCTTTTAAATTTGTATATATATCCCAAGTAGCTGGCATTACACCACGACACCCAGCTAATTTTTTTATTTTTAGTAGAGTTGGGGTTTCTCCATGTTGGCCGGCTGGTCTCGAACTCCTGACCTCAGGCGATTTGCCCACCTTGATCTCCCAAAGTGTTGAGATTACAGGCATGAGCCACCGCGCCCGACTAACGCAGAAACTCTTAACAAAATATTTGCGCATAGAATTCATCAATAGATCAAAAGAATTATACACCATGACCCAATGGGGTTCATTTCAGAGATGCAAGCCCGGTTCAATATTTAAAAATAATCAGTATAATCCACCAAAACAGGTGGAAGAAGAAAAATCACATGATCATATCAAATAATGCAGAAAAAGCATTTGCCATACTTCAGCACCCGTTCATGATTAAAAAGAAAAACTCTCAGAAAAAGTGGAATGGAGGGGAACTGCCTCAACTTGATAAAGAACATCTATAAAAAGCCTACAGCTGTGGGGCCAGGCACGGTGGCTCATGCCTGTAATCCCAGCACTTTGGGAGGCTGAGACAGGCAGGTTGTTTGAGCTCATGAGTTCAACACCAGCCTGGGCAACATGGTGAAACCCCATCTCCACAAAAAATGCAAAACTTAATGATGGAAGACTGAGTGCTTTCTCCCTAAGATGAGGAAGAAGGCAAAGATGTCCTCTATCACCATTCTTATTCAACCACAGTACTGAAAGTTCCATCTGGTGCAATCAGGCAAGAGAAGGAAATAAAAGGCAACTAGATCAAAAAAGAAGAAATAAAACTGTTAGCAGGCTGGGTGCAGGGGCTCACACCTGTAATCCCAGCACTTTGGGAGGTCGAGGCAGGTGGATCACAAGGTCAGGAATTCGAGACCAGCCTGACCAACATGGTGAAACCCCATCTCTACTAAAAATACAAAAATTATCCAGGCTTGGTGGTGCATGCCTGTATTCTCAGCTACTCAGGAGGCTGAGGCAGGAGAATCTTTTGAACCTGGGAGGCGGAAGTTGCAGTGAGCCGAGATCACGCCACTGCACTCCAGCCTGGGCAACAAGAGTGAAACTCTGTCTCAAACACACACACACACACACACACACACACACAATCTGTTTGCAGATGACATAATTGTCAACATAGAAAATCCAAGTAATCTACAAAAATTCTCATAGCACTGAGTCCAGCAAGATGAGAGTATATAAGACAAACATACAAAGATCAACTGTCTACATTAGCAACAAATGCACTCATTCTATCAAGAAATACTTACACCTAAAGTGTGCCAGGCACTGTTTTGTGTGCTGGGGACATAAAAGTGAACAAAACAGACAGAAATCTCTTTTGATTGTTGGTTGTGTGGGGGTTTTTTGTTTGTTTTTGTTTTTTGGTGTTTTTTTGTTTGTTTGTTTTTGTTTGCTTGTTTGTTTGTTTTTGAGACTGAGTCTTTCTCTATTGCCCAGGCTGGAGTGCAGTAGCACAACCTCTGCTCACTGCAATCTCCGTCTCCTGGTTTCAAGCAATTCTCATGCCTCGGCCTCCCAAGTAGCTGGAACTACAGGCACCTGCCACCACGCCCAGCTAATTTTTTTGTATCTTTAATAGAGACAAGGTTTCACCATGTTGGCCAGGCTGGTCTCAAACTCCTGACTTCAAGTGATCCTCCTGCCTCAGCCTCCCAAAGTACTGGGATTACAGGCATGAGCCACTGCGCCTGGCCCAGAAATCTCTTTTGAACACCAAAACAAAAAATACAGCTAGCCTCAGTGGTTCATGCCTGTAATCCTAGCACTTTGGGAGACCAAGGCAGGCTGATGGTTTGAGGGCAGGAGTTTGAGACCAGCCTGGGCAACATGGCAAAACCCCATTTCTATTAAAAAAAAAAAAAAAAAAAAAAAACCTTGGCATGGTTGCACGTGTCTGTAGTTTCAGCAACTTGGGAGGCTGAGGTGAGAGGATCACCTGAGCCCAGGAGGTGGAGGCTGAACTGAGCTGTGATTCCGCCACTGCGCTCCAGCCTGGGCAATAGAGCAAGACCCTGTCCTCACCAACCCCCCAAAATACCATTTATAATAACTTTTAAAAAAAGAATCGCTTAGGTGAAATCTAAGGACTCATATAGTGAAAGCTATAAAACCCTGATGGAAAACATTAAAGGAGACCTAATTAAAAGGAGAGACACACTGCATTTGTGGATTGGAAGACTGGACGGAGTAAAGACCTCAGTTCTCTCCATATTGATATGTAGACTTAATGCAATTCCTATTCAAAACTCCAGCAAGACTTTTCAGATATAGACAAGATTATTCTACAATTTACATGAACGCTAAAGGAACTAGAATAAGTAAACCAATTTTAAAAAGAATAGGCCGGGCGTGGTAGCTCACACCTGTAATCTCAGTACTGTGGGAGGCTGAGGCAGGTGGATCATCTGAGGTCGGGAGTTTGAGACCAGCCTGGCCAACATAGTGAAACCCCACCTCTACTAAAAATACAAAAATTAGCCAGGCATGGTGGTGGGTGCCTGTAGTCCCAGCTACTCAGGAGGCTGAGGCAGGAGAATCACTCGAACTCAGGAGGCAGAGGTTGCAGTGAGCCGAGATCGCACCATTGCACTCCAGCCTGGGTGACAGAGTGAGATTCCGTCTCAAAAAAAAAATTTAAATCAGCAAGAGAATCGCTTGAACCCAGGTGGCAGAGTTTGTAGTAAGCCAAGATCGTGCCACTGCACTCCAGCGTGGACAACAGAACGAGACTCCATCTCAAAATAAATAAATAAAATTAAATTAAACATTTTTAAAAATTAAAAGAAGAATAAAATAAGAGGAACTAGCCTGCTGATTTCAAGACTTAGGATACACTACAGTAACTGACAGTGTTGTTTTGGTAGAGGGAGAGACACATAGACCAACGCAACACAATAGAAAACCCAGAAATAGACCCACACAAATACGCCCAACTGATTTTTGGCAGAGGTGCAAAGCCAACTCAATTGAGGAAGAATAGCCTTTTCAACAAATGGTGTTTGGACCAATTGGATATCTATAGGCAGAAAAGTGGATCACAATATAAACCTCAGATCTTACGCTCAAAATGGATCAAAAATTTAAATTTAAAGTGTAAAACTAGGCCGGGCACAGTGGCTCACACTGTAATTCCAACACTTTGGGAGGCCAAGGTGGGCGGATAACCTGAGCCCAGAAGTTCGAGACCAGACTGGCCAACACGGTGAAATACAAAAATTAGCCAGGCGCAGTGACATTTACCTGTTATCTCAGCTACTCGGGAGGCTGAGGCAGAAGGATCACTTGAGCCCAGGAGGCGGAGGTTGCAGCAAGCCAAGATCACACCACTGCACTCCAGCCTGGGCAACGGGAGTGAAACCCTGTCTCAAAAAAAAAAAAAAAAAAAAAAAAGTGAAGCTAGAATATATTTTTAAAAGAACATAGGGGAAAATCTTTGGGATCTGAGGCTTCGGAAAGAGTTTTTACACTTGACACTCAAAGCACGATTCATAAAATGAAAAGCTGAGAAGTTGGACTTCATCAAAATTTAAATTTTTAATCTGTGGAAGACCCCATTAAGAAGATATAAAGAGTTGGCCGGTGTGGTGACCCACACCTTTAATCCCAGCACTTTGGGAGGCCGAGGCGGATGATCACTTGAGGTCAGGAGTTCGAAACCAGCCTGGACAACCTGGCAAGACCCCATTTTTACAAAAAGTACAAAAATTAGCCAGGCATGGTGTTGCATGCCTGTGGTCCCAACTACTCGGGAGGCTGAGGTAGAAGATCATTTGAGCCCAGGAGGTCGAGGCTACAATGAGCCAAGATTGTGCCACTGCACTCCAGCCTGGGCAACAAAGCAAGACCCAATCTTAAAAAAAAAAGAAAAGAAAAGAAAGAAAGAAAAGAAAAGAAGAAGACAGAAAGACAAGCTACAGATTAGGAGAAAATATTTGAAAACCACATATCTGACAAAAGACTAGTATCTAGAATATATATTTATTTTTTAAAGCCTCTCAAAACTAAAAAGTAAAAGAAAAACAATAATCTAATTAGAAAATAGGCAAAAGGCCAGGCATGGTGGCTCACGCCTGTAATCCAGCCCTTTGGGAGGCCAAGGTGGGTGAATCATTTGAGCCCAGGAGTTTGAGACCAGCCTGGGCAATATAGTGAGACTCCTGTCTTTACAAAAAATAAAGAATAAAAAAATTAGCTGGGCATGGTGGCACACACCTGTAGTCCCAGCTACTCAGGAGGCTGAGGCAGGAGAATCGCTTGAGCCAGGGAGGCTGAGGCCACGGTGAGTCATGATCTCACCACTACCTGCAGCCTGGGCAACAGAGCAAGACCCTGTCTCAAAAAAAAAAGAAAGGAAAGGAAAGGAGAGGGCAGGGGAGGGGAGGGGAGGGGAGAGAAGGGGAAAGGAGAGGGGATAAAGGAGAGGAGAGAAAGGAAAGGGGGGAAGGGAAAGGGGAAAGGAAAGGAAAAGAAAGGAGAGGAGAGGAGAGGAGGGGGAGGGGGAGGGGAGGGGAGGGAGGAAGGAAAGGAAAGGAAAGGAAAGGAAAGGAAAGGAAAGGAAAGGAAAGGAAAGGAAAGGAAAGGAAAGGAAAGGAAAAAGTCTGGGGTTGGCAGATGCCAGACACAGAATGTTCATAATTAATTACGTCATCCTAATTCAGTCCCAAGCCCCTTCCAGCTCTCTCTCTCTCTGTGTGTGTGTGTGTGTGTATGTCTGTGTGTGTGTGAGAGAGAGAGAGAAGATAGGGTTTCACTGTGTTGCCCAGGCTGGTCTTCAACTCTTGGCCTCAAATGATCCTCTCACCTTGGCCTTCCAAAGTGCTGGGATGACAGGCGTGAGCCATTGTGCCCAGCCCCTTCCAGCTTTGTTCTGTCATTTCAGTATTTCAGTATTTCAGTTTGTCAGCCTGAGCCTCAGCCTGTCTCCCCTCATAGGCACAAGGTGGCTGCCACAGTTCCAGGCATCACATACAAAGAGGACAACACTAACAAGAGGAAAATATGCTCCCTTTACCTTTCTTCAGAGCTGAGCTCTAAACCCAACAGGTTTTATTTCACAGCCTGTGCCCTCCAACATTTTGCCATCCTGAAGAAAGGACAAGAGGCAGCACTCCAATCACCACTCCATTCTGATCACTAGTTCCAGGCCTTTCCTCGTCTTTGGGTATCTCCTTTTCTTTCCTTTCCTTTCCTTTCTTTCTTTCTTTTTTTTTTTAAGAGACAGTCTCACTCTGTCACTCAAGCTGGAGCACAGTGGTGTGATCATAGCTCACTGCAGCCTCAAACTCCTGGGTTCAAGCAATCGACCCTCCCACCTCAGCCTCCTGAGTAGCTAGGACTACAGGTGTGTGCCATCACACTTGGCTAATTTTTTAAAGTTTTTCTGTAGAGATGGGGTCATGCAATGTTGCCCAGGCTGGTCTGAAACTCCTGGGCTCAAGCGATCCTCCTGCCTTGGCCCCCACAAAGTGCTGGGATTACAGACATGAGCCTCTGCACCTGGCCTACCTTTGGGTATTTTCATTTTCATTTTTAGTTTTGAATATAAAATATTTGAGACCCACAAAAGAATATTTGAAGTGCACATGAGTCACGCATCTTAATGATCAATGAATATTTATAAACCCATCACTCAACTTAAATCCTAGAACATCATAATACTATTGGAGCTACCTATGTGTCCTTCCTGACTTTTTTTTTTTTCTTTGAGATGGAGTTTCACTCTTGTTGCCCAGGCTGGAGTGCAATGATGTGATCTTGGCTCACTGCAACCTCCACCTCCCGGGTTCAAGCTATTCTCCTGCCTCAGCCTGCATAGTAGCCAGGATTACAGGCATGCACCACCACGCCCAGCTAATTTTGTATTTTTAGTAGAGGCAGAGTTTCACCATGTTGGTCAGGCTGGTTTCGAACCCCTGACCTCAGGTGATCCGCCCGCCTCGGCCTCCCAAAGTGCTGGGATTACAGGCGTGAGCCACCACACCCGGCCTCTGACTTTTTGTTTTGTGTTGTGTTATCCTTCCATTGATTTTTCCTTCTGTTTAACCACACTAGAGTGGGTCGTTTTGTTGTTGAGCCTTACAAAAATGTTATTTTATTATATGTAGTCTTCTATAGGTTGGTGTTTGAACTCAACATTGTATTCCTGCGTCTGTTGGCATTAGATGCTAAGACAGAGCTAGGGGTGTGAAGTTTTTTGGTAGGTGATGCCTAAAGAAATACAAGGGGGAGGAAATAGAATCTGGCAGGAGGAGCCTGAGACCATGATGTTGATCTGATTCATCTGGGAGAGGAAAAAGGTGAGGTGGGATTGGGCAGGGAAAGGCTCAGAATGTGATATTATTTTTTTTCCTGTAGACACGGAGTCTTGCTGTGTTATCCAGGCTGTTCTCAAACTCCTGGCCTCAAGTGATCCTCCCACCTGGGCCTCCCAAAGTGCTGGGATTACAGGTGTGAGCCACCATGCCTGGCCTGAATAAGATGCATTTCTGGCAATGTTGACCAATGCCACAGGGAGCTCAGAACACAGGTCATTCATTAGAGGAGCCTCCCATTGGGTAGGCACGGCCTGATCTGAGAAGCCATGCTCAATAATCACTGATGTCTTCCCCAGGTCTTGGCTCAAAAGCTGATGCAGATCCTGAAGGCACTGCCCTGCTTGCAACAGAATGGCACGGTCTTTTTTGAAGGGATGGCTGGGCTCAGTGGCTCACACCTGTAATCCCAGCACTTTGGGAGGCTGAAAGAGGCTGATCACTTGAGGTCAGGAGTTCAAGACCAGCTTGGCCAACATGAGGAAACCCCACCTCTATTAAAAATACACACACGGCCGGGGGCGGTGGCTCATGCCTGTAATCCCAGCACTTTGGGAGGCTGAGGTGGGAGGATCAGCTGAGGTCAGAAATTCGAGACCAGCCTGGCTAACATGGTGAAACCCTGTTTCTACTAAAAATACAAAAAATTAGCTGGGCGTAGTGGCACATGCCTGTAATCCCAGCTACTCGAGAGGCTGAGGCAGGAGAATTGCTTGAACCTGGGAGGCGGAGGTTGCAGTGAGCTGAGATCGTGCCATTGCACTCCAGCTTGGGCAACAAGAGCAAAACTCCGTCTCAGAAAAGAAATACACACGCCTGTAATCCCAGCTACTTGGGAGGCTGAGGCACGAGAATTGCCTGAACCCGGGCGGTGAAGGTTGCAGTGAGCCAAGATCATGCCACTGCACTCCATCCTGGTGGCACTCCTCTTTGGTTGCCACAGTGCTAAGATTTATCCATGTGGAAATGTGTGGTAGTTCATGTTCCTGCTGCATGGTATTCCACACCCCTCATTTCAGTGATTCATTTGTTAGCAGCTATTTGGGTTGATTCTAATTTTTTGCTGTTACAACAAACACTGCAAAGAATATTCTTTTTTTTTTTGAGATAGGATCTTGCTCTGTCACCCATGCTGGAGGGCAGTAGCTTGATGATGACTTACTGCAACCTCCACCTCCCAGGGCTCAAGCAATCCTCCCACATCAGCCTCCTGAGTACCTGGGACTACAGGCATGTGCCACCCCACCCACCTAATTTTTGTATTTTTTTTTTAATAGAGACAGGGTCTTGCCATATTGCCAAGGTTTGAACTGCTGGCCTCAAATTATCCTCCCACCTTGGCCTCCCGAAGTACTGGGATTACAGGTGTGAGCCACCTCTTCTTTTTTGAGATGGAGTCTCACTCTGTCACCCAGGCTGGAGTACAATGGTGTGATCTTGTCTCACTGCAACCTCCACCTCCCAGGTTCAAGCGATTCTCCTGCCTCAGCCTCCCGAGTAACAGGTGTGAGCCACCACGCCCGACCAAGTCACCTTTTTCCTCAAAGAACATTCTTGTACCACCTGTGTCTCTATTGCATGTGTATAAGAGTTTCTGTTGATATATCTTAGATTTGGAATTTCTGGCTCATGCAATCTGCATATATTCGACAAGATAGTGCCAAAATGTTTTCTATTAGATTCTTTAACACAGCCTTTAACCTTGTACTACATTCCTCTTTTCATTTAAGCTAGCTTGAGTGGGTTTCTATTGCTTGCAATTCTAACCTACCTAACTCATCAAAAATGACTTTTTGATGACAACTCTGTGACATTCCTCCCAAGAGGTCCCCACCCTGACAATAGTCACCTCAGGTTTAGAACTACAGGAGGTTATGGGTGAATGAGGCACAAACACAAGTTTGACACGTCCTTAGCAATACACTCACACTGGCTGGACACGGTGGCTCACACCTGTAATTTCAGCACTCTGGGAGGCTGAGGCAGGAGGATCACTTGAGCAAAGGAATTCAAGACCAGCCTGGGCAATGTAAAAATGTAAAAAAAAATGTAAATGTAAAAAACAAAATGCAAAAAATAAAATGTAAAAAAAATAATAGTAGGCCAGGTGCCGTGACTCACACCTGTAATCCCAGAATTTTGGGAGGCCGAGATGGGTGGATCACAAGGTCAGGAGTTTGAGACCAGCCTGGCCAACGTGGCGAAACCCTGTCTTCTCCACTAAAAATACAAAAATCAGCCTGGTGTGGTGGTGGGAGCCTGTAATCCCAGCTACTCAGGAGGCTGAGGCAGGAAAATTGCTTGAACCCCAGAGGCAGAGGTTGCAGTGAGCCAAACTTGTGCCACTGCACTCCAGCCTGGGAGACAGAGTGAGACTCTGTCTCAAAAAAAAAAAAAAGTAGTAAAAAGACTTTTTAAAATAAGATAAGACATACACTCATACATGCAGATCCTCGGTCCATGATGATGCCATTTTCCTGCTGCTCTGACCCAGGCACAGCCTCCCTCTGGACATCTTATTAGTTGGCCTAATGACTGCTTGTGATGTTTAAGTCATTTGCAATTAAATCTTCCACAACTTGTAACTGAAAGCATCCTTAGTGACTTTTTCACTCTTCATTCATTCTTTCATATTCTTACTCTCTGTCCCTCCCTCTTTCTCTCTCCCTTTCTTCTTTTTCTTTTCTTTTTTTTTCTTAAAGGAGGGGTCAGCTGGATGCAGCGGCTCATGCCTGTAATCCCAGCACTTTAGGAGGCCAAGGTGGGTGGATCACTTGAGGCCAGGAGTTCGAGACCAGCCTGGCCAACATGGCAAAACCCCGTCTCTACCAAAAATACAAAAATTAGCCAGCATGGTGGCACACACCTGTAGTCCCAGCAACTCAGGAGGCTGAGGCAGGAGAATCGCTTGAACTCAGGAGGCGGAGGTTGCAGTGAGCTGAGATGGCACCACTGCACTCCAGCCTGGGGGACAGAGTGAGATCCTGTCTCAAAAAAATAAAAATAAAAACAAAAATAACAAAAAGCCAGGGTCTCACTCCATTACCCAGGCTGGAGTGCGGTAGTGGGATCATACTCACTGCAGCCTCGACCTCCCTGGCTCAAGTGATCCTCCTGCCTCAGCCTCCTGAGTAGCTGGGACTACAAGTGCACACCACCATGCCAGGCTAATTTTTTTTATTCTTTATTTTTTATAGAGATTGGAGTCTTGCTATGTTGCCCAGGCTGGTCTCAAACTCCTGTGCTCAAGCAATCTTCCCAGGACGGCCTCCCAAAGTACTGGGATAATAGGCATAAGCCATCCTGCCCAGCTTTCTCTCTCCTCTGTCTCACACACACACACACAAACACGCACACACACACACACACACACACACAAACACGTACAGCTACAGTCACATATGCAGACAAGTGGCGTTCAGTCATTAATAAAGTCACATATACAAGCAAGGTCAATGTCACAGACAAATTTCTTATTGTTTGTTGTCACAAATTGTATAAAAAGAACAAGAGCAAACATTTTTTGGGGGCTTCACAAACAAATAGGGATCTGGAGGTGGTAATCTAGGCAAGGTAGTTGGTGCATACATACCTAAGGTAATGGATGGTGCTATGGTTTGAATATTTATCTCCTCCAAAGCTCATGTGGAAACCAAATCCCCAGTGTGGCAGAATTAAGAGGTGTGGCTTCTAAGAGGTGATTGGATTATGGATTCGTGGACTAATGGATTAATGGGTTGATGTGTTACTATGAGGGTGGCACTGGTGGCTCTATTTATTTATTCATTTATTTAGACAGAGTCTCGCTATGTCACCCAGGCTGGAGCGCAGTGCCATGATCTTGGCTCGATGCAACCTCCACCTCCAGGGTTCAAGCGATTCTCCTGCCTCAGCCTCCTGAGTAGCTGGGATTACAGGCTTGAGCCACCACAGTCAGCTAATTTGTTTGTATTCTCAGTAGAGACAGGGTTTCACTATGTTGGCCAGGATGGTCTCAAACTCCTGACCTGAAGTGATCCACCCACCTTGGCCTCCCAAAATGCTGGGATTACAGGTGTGAGCCAACTGGTGGCTTTATAAGAAGAGGAAGACAGACCTGAGTTGGCATGCTTGGTGCCCTCGCCCTGTGATGCTTTGCACCACCTTAGGGCCCTGCAGAGTCCCCACCAGCAAGAAGGCCCTCAGCAGATGAGGCCTCTCGACCTTGCCGTTCTCAGCCTCCAGAACTGTAAGGAATAAATTCCTTTTCTTTATAAATTACCCAGTTTCAGATATTCTGTTGTAAGCAACAGAAAACAGACTAAAACAGACAGATGGCAGGTGGGTCTCAGGGGCAGACACACGGGTCTCCACTGGCCACACACTTCAGGTCCCAAATAGAGAGGCAGAAAAGGCCAGGTGTGGTGGCTCATGCCTATAATTCCAGTGATGTGGGAGGGCTAGCAGGGAAGATCGTTTGAACCCAGAAGTTAGAGGCTGCAGTGAGCTAGGACCTCACCACGGCACTCCAGCCTGGGTGATAGTGTATGTCTCTCTTAAAAAAAAAAAAAAAAAAGGAGAAGGGAAGGGGAAGGTTCAAGACAGTGGAGGCACGAGGAGCCCCAGAACTCTGTTGGGGAGACACTAATTCGTGCACCTGCCATCCTCCCCCAGGACCCAAAGGACCCGGGTCTGTCATCTTCCTCGGGGCCTCCTGGAGCTGGTGCAGCCAGTGGTGGAGGCGGCCCCGGGGCCTGGGCCTTGCTGAGGCTGGATCTGTGAGCAGAGGAGGGCGGTGTGTGAGGCGGGGCCTGGGCCACCACAGGGGAAGGATGCTGCTCAGAGCCCACAGACCTGGGTGCCCGGGCCCCGAGGACTCACACTGGCCCCAAGCTGGGAGAGGATGTTGTGGAGGGTGTGAAGGAGCTGGTCCAGGACATCCCCCAGGGCCGGATCAGCATCAGCGGTGACCTCCAGGACCTTCAGTGTCAGGGCCAGCTCAGCCTCCAAAGCCACAGGGCGCTCCCTCACCTGAAGAGAGGTGAGAAAGAGCAGGTGAGGGGGCGGGTGAGGGGAACAGATGGGGGGAGGAGGATAGAGAGGAACAAGTGAAGGTGACAAGCACAGGGGAGAGGGCACAGCCAGTGTGGTCAGGTGGGAGTAGAGGGAAGGGGGAGCAGGTGTGGGGAGAGGAGAGAGGGACAAGGGAGAAGGAGAAGATGAAGGGGCCACTACAGAGCCAGGTGAGTGGGGCTGGGAGAGCAGGGGTGGGCCTGACTCCCCCTCTCACCTGCAGCTGCCTCAGGTCCCAGGTCCTGGGGAAGAGGCGGGAGCGGCACCTGCAGTCCTTCAGCAGAAGCGACACTTCCTAGACAGCAAAGGCACAGGTTAGCCCCAGCAGGAGGGGTGGAGGTTAGACCACTCTGATGGGATTGGAGGATGGCTGACAACAGGATAGGGAAGTTAACTGGTGGGAGGATAGTAGAGGACCCTCTTCTACAGAAGAACATGCGTCAGTCCCTGCAGTAGGAGCATGAGATAGCCTACTGCAGGGAGGGTGGAGGCTAGCCCAGTGAAGGAAGCTGGAGGTCTTCGCTCAACAAAGTCAGCATGGTGACCCATAGAGGGTGATGGAGGCTAGCCCACGGCAGGAGGGGCAGGGGGAGACTCACACAGGCCTCGTTCTGTCTATTAAAGCCTGAGCTGCATGGACTTCCTGTCTGGTTCCTGCGCCTTTTTCACCAGGGGGATGCAGTGTCCTGGGCTCCACGGCTTTGGGTCTCTATTCAGTCTTATTCAAAGTCTCTGGCTTCGGTCTCTTCTTCTGGATCTCCACCTGCTGCTCTGGGTTTGGCTGTTTCTGATTTCCAGCTCGGTCTGGGGTATCATTCCTGCCTGAGCTCCAGGGCACACTGTTTAGCTGGGACAGAGGCCAGTCCCACGGGTGCAGAGCGGCCTGAGGCACCGGAGGGGGTGGGGTGGGGGAGGCCCAGGCTGGAGAAGTCCAGAGCAGGGCGGGGCCAGGTGCCGCAGCTGCCCCTGGGGAAAGAGAAAGTGACACGTGCCCGGGCCAGGCTCTGTGTTCGCCTACAGGAAGGTGACTTCCTGAACCACACATGCCTGGGGCTGTAGCAGCTTCAGCTCAGGAGGAGGAGCCACGGGTGCCCCCAGGGCAGGACTAGGGTTTGAGGGGGCGGGTGAGGGGCTTGTGTATCTGCAGATTGCTCAGATGTGGAGGGGGGTGGCTGAGGGAAACCCGGGAAGTATTTCCCTGAGGGGTGGAAGGGGGGACTCTAGAAGGAGACTGCTTAGGGTAGGGGAGACCACCCAGGGAAAGGGATACTGTGGGGATGGGAGGACGGAGTCAGTGAGGCCAAGACCACAGAGTATAAAGAAAAGGACAGGCCACTTTGGTACGCCAAGGCAGGAGGATCACTTGAAGTCAGGAATTTGAGACCAGCCTGGGCAACATAGCAAGACCCCCGTCACTACAAAAAAAAATTTTTTTCGACTAGCCAGGCATGGTGGTGTGCCCCTGTAGTCCCAGCTACTCCGGAGGCTGAGGCAGGAGGATCACTTGAGCCCTGGAGTTCAAGGTTGCAGTGAGCCATGATTGCACCACTGCACTGCAGTCTGGGTGACAGAGCTAGACCTCGTCTCAAGGGAAAAAAGGAGAGCCCTCCCTGCACTCCCAACTCTCCCCAACCTGCCATCAGTTGGGGGGTGGGGGAGGCAGGAACAGGGGAGTGACAGTGTCTACTCAGGAATTCAGGTACAGCTGAGGGCTTCAAAGGAAGCAGGTTGATTGTAACAGACCCATTCCTTTATTCATTCATTGAATCTGTCATTGGTTCAAAAAGTATTTATTGAGCAGGAACTATGGGCCAACACTGTCCTGTGCACTGAGGGCCCAGCAGAGAACAAAATACACAAAATTCCCTGTCTCTCGAGGAGCTGACATACCAGTGGGAGAGTCAGGCAGTAACAAATAAGTTAAATATGTACAATGTCACTGAAAGAAGCGCTTTTGAGAAAAATTATGCTGCAGATGGAGCCGGCTGAACCCAGAAGAAGTTGCCTGCTCTAAGGCAGCCAGAGAAGGGGACATCTAGTTGAAAACCTAAAGGAGGAGGGAGGGAACAGCATTCTAGGCAACGGGAACAGCCAGTGCAAAGTGAGGACAACGACAAGTTTCTCTAACGGATGCCACCCTGTCCCGGAGGCTTTACACATGCAAGAGCAGTGAATTCTCCCAACACCTCTGAGAAAGGTACCATGCTTTCTTCTACCTTGAAAATGAAGAAGCTGGTACTCAGAGAGGTTAAGAGACTTGGCCAAGTTTACACAGCAGGTATGTGCTAAGAGCAGTCTGAGTTTTCCCTGACACCCAGGCCTTAACCCCTGCACCTCCTGCCTTCAGAGGTTTTGAGTTTTTCTTTTTTTTTTTCTTTTGAGATGGAGTCTCGCTCTGTTGCCTGTCGCCCAGGCTGGAGTGCAGTGGCACGATCTTAGCTCACTGCAACCTTCACCTCCCAGCTTCAAGTGATTCTCCTGCCTCAGCCTTCTGAGTAGCTGAAAACCATGTGTATTCCTGGGCCTGTGGATTTGGAAGGGCAGGGAAAACCATGTGTATTTTCATTTGGAAGGGCAGGGAAAACCGTGTGTATTTTCATACAGGCATCCGCCACCACACCTGGCTAATTTTTGTATTTTTAGTAGAGATGGGGGTCTTACCTTGTTGGCCACGCTGGTCTGGAACTCCTGACCTCAGGTGACCCTCCCACCTCAGCCTCCCAAAGTGCTGGGATTACAGACCTGAGCTACCGTGCTGACCAGAGGTATTGAGTACTTTGAAGATACTTTTCTGAGTCCTTGGTCACCTGAATTCTGCCCATCCAGGGAGTCCCTTGAGGAAACCTGGGGGCTGATCTTGCCATGTGCACATGTGCTCCGAAACCCTCTTGCCCCTCCATCCTCAGCATTATTAGATATGGAGACTAGTACTGGCCACCAAACCCAAGACTACATTCTCTAGCATCCTGCATGCTAGGGATGACCATGTGACTAACCCATCACCACCATCTAGGCCTTAAAACACAGGGTGGGTGGTCCCTGCTCTGTTTCCTATTGTCACCACTGAAAAACTGGACATGTCTGAGAGCCGAATCCTGCTGTACAGGTGAGAACAAACTCCAGGACAGGGCTTCTAACCTGGCAGAAGAATTCCTGGGCCTGTGGATTTGGAAGGGCGGAAAAACTATGTGTATTCTCACTAACCTCTGTCTGAAATTTGATATTTCCTGAATGTATGTTTCTTACACCTGCTGTAACAAATGACCCCCAACTTAGTGGGGTAAAACAACTCAGACTTTCCAGGGATGGATAGACGGATGGGCAAAATATAGTCTACACATATGATGGAATATGATTCAGCCTTCAAAAGGCAGAAAATTCTGGCCGGGTGCGGTGGCTCCCACCTGTAATCCCAGCACTTTGGGAAGCCGGAGCAGGAGGATCGCTTGAATCCAGGAGTTCCAGATCAGCCTGGGCAACATACTGAGGCCTCGTCTCTATAAAAAATTTAAAAATTAGCCAGATGTGGTAGCACACATTTGTAGTGCTGGCTACTCAGGAAGCTAAGGCAGGAGGATCACTTGAGCTGAGGAATTTGAGGCTGCAGTGAGCTGATTGCACAACAGTACTCTAGCCTGGGTAACAGAGCAAGACCCTGTCTCTAAACTTAAAGACAGAGAGAGAGAGTCCAGGCGCGGTAGCTCATGCCTGTAATCCCAGCACTTTGGGAGGCCAAGGCCAGTGGATCACCTGAGATCAGGAGTTCGAGACCGACCTGGCTAACATGGTGAAACCCCATTTCTACTAAAACTACAAAAAATTAGCTGGGTGTGGTGGCAGACACCTGTAATCCCAGCTACTCGGGAGGCCGAGGCAGGAGATTCACTTGAACCCAGCAGGTGGAGGTTGCAGTGAGCCAAGATCGCGCCACTACACTCCAGCTTGGGCAACAAGAGCGAAACTCTGTCTCAAAAAAAAAAAAAAAAAAAAAGAGAGCAAGAGGAGGGAAGGAAGTTCTGACACATGCTACAATAAAAATGAACTTTGAAGACATTATGTCAGTGAAATAAGCCAGTCTCAAAAGAACAAATGCTGTATGATTCCCCCTACATGAGGTGCTGAGAGAAGTCAAATTCCTAGAAACAGACGTGTCTAAATATTTGCCGGGGTAGCGGGAGGGGTTAATAGGAAGTTGTTGTTTAATGGGTACAGAGATTCAATTTTGTAAGATGAAGAGAGTTCTGGAGATTGCTTGCCGAACAATGTAGCAAACACCACTAGGACCAGACCTGTAATCCCGGCACTTTGGGAGGCCAAGGGGGGCAGATCACTTGAGGTCAGGAGTTCGAGACCAACCTGGCCAACATGGCAAAACCCCATCTCTACTAAAAATACAGTAATTAGCCAGGCATCTGACTGGCTAATGGCACACACCTGTAGTCTCAGCTACTCAGGAGGCTGAGGTGGGAGGATCACTTGAGCCTAGGAGGTCGAGGCTGCAATGAGCTATGATCATGCCAGTGCCCTCCAGCCAGGGTGACAGAGCAAGGTCCTGTCTCAAAAAAAAAAAAATAGAATAAATAAATAATAAAATTGCACTACTGAACAATGTGCTTTAGAAAGGATAAGATGGTACATTTTGTGGGTTTCCCACAATTAAAAAAAATATTTAAATTACCTGAACAAAAAGAACAAAACAAAATGCATGCACATTTCTATTCCTACAGTTCTGACAGTCAAGATGTCAGCAGAGCGGGTTCCTTCTGGAAGCAGCAGGGGAGATCTCTCTCCTTTCTCAGCCTCTGGGGGTGTCCAGCATCCCTTGACCCCGGTTCCCTTCCTGACATCACTCCAATGTCCTGTTTCTGTGGTTACATCTTCCGCTAATGATGCTGACCCCGGCCTCCTTCTTAGAAGGACTTTTGTGATGACATTGGGTCCAGGTGGACAACCCAGGATAACGCCCCCATCCCAAACCCTTAACTTACTCACATCTGCAGAGTCCCTCGTGCCATGGAACATAACATATTCCCAGGTCCAGGAATCAGGAACATCTCTGGGGACCAGTCTTGCATCTAGCACGAATCCATTACAAATGCAGCAACACACCACAGCAGTGTTAGCAGAACTTGTGACTGTTACCAAAAGAAATCACAGGCATTTCCTATCACGTTATCTTCCAGCAGGCACCTTGAAATGTCATTTATGCTCATCTCTGCTTCTAAGTCACAGTGGTTATTAAAGCTGCCACAGGTGATTTTTTACTTAATGCATTCATGAAGAAGCACATGAATTGCTATGTCACAGTGTGAAAAAATATTTTGATCACTGTATTACAATCAGAGTTGGATTCCTTTGTCCTGCACGTGTTCTTTCCTTCTGAGAAGGGTCCGTAGGCTTTTCAAGGCTGCCGTGAGGTCCGGTGGGTGAAGATGATGAGGGAGCCCTGTCCCGGGGACTGTGGAGCACAGAACTGCCAGGAACCAGGGCCCCTGGATGACTGAGTGGGGCCATCCTGCCAGGGGGAGCGCTCACCTTGGGAGGAGGAGCTGGTGGAGAATGACACTCTGTGGTTTGTAATTCATGATCACTGTATTTGGGGGACTCTTTGTTCCAGCAGCTCAGCCAACTCTACTCAGCAGGGGTCCCTGATCCAAGTTGTCCTCCTCATCTGTAGGGGCTTATCCAGGGTTAGTGAGACCTCATGTTTGCTTATACAATTCAGGGGCTTCTTGGAAAGAGAATGGGCTGGACCCGGTGACTCAAGCCTGTAATCCCAGTTCGGGGAGGGGCTGGAGAGGGTGGAGGATGGTGCCGAGGAGAGAGAATCACTTGAGCCCAGGAGTTTGAGGCTACAGTGAGATGTGATCACGCAAGAGACAGGATCTTGCTGTTGCTCAGGCTGGTCGTGAACTCCTGACCTCAAACAGTCCTCCCATCTCAGCTTCCACCAGTAGCTGGGATTATGGGCTTGTGCCACCACACCCAGCCAATTCTCTAATTTTTTATAGAGACAGGATCTTGCTATGTTGCCCAGGCTGGTCTGGGCTCAAGTGATCCTCCCAACTCAGCCACCCAAAGTGCTGTGATTACAGGCTTGAGCAATCACATCCAGGCTCTAAATTAATTTTAAAGATGCTTCATTTCACCCAATACATCCAAAGTGCTATCATTTCAACATCTAATGAATATATAAATTATAATTAAGCTGTTTTACTTTTTTTTTTTTCTCCACAGTAAATCTTCAAATTCTGGGGTATGTTTTACACTCACTGAAAAAATGAGGTTGCACCACCTACATTCCAGGTGCTCGATAGTGACATGTGACCTGGGGACCCCAGTGGACAGCACAGACTCAATGAACCTGCTGTTCTAGATGCTACTTTTAGGGTAATTTGTTATGGCAGCAATGCAAAGGAAATACACACCAACGCACACACAGTCCCACGTCATGGGTGTCTTTTCCTCATTGTTTATTTCAACAAGGATTTCAAAAAGTAGAAAAATAAACATTTTCCTGGAGGTGAGTTGGATTTACATACACAAATACATAAATAGCGACTGGGTGACAATAAATTAAGCCAAGTGGCTAATTTATAAATAAAATCTCAGGTTGCATGACTGGCGGAAGGGTCAGACACACAGGTCCCCGCTGGCAACACAATTCAGGTCTCGCGTGAGGAGGCGGAAGAGGTTGAAGGTGACAGAGGCCTCGAGGCAGCCAGGGGACTCCTGTAGGGAGGAGGGGATGGGTCAGGGGCTGTCTGGGTTCTGGGCTCCCAGTGGCTCCCCAGACCTCAGTCCCTCTCTTCCCGGGTCACTCACCTTTTTTGGGGCCTCCTGGAGCCGGTGCAGCCAATGGTGGAGGCGGCCCCGGGTCCTGGGCCCTGCCGTGGGCTGAGGCTGGATCTGTGGGCAGAGGAGGGCGGTGTGTGAGCCGGGGCCTTGGCCAGGGGAAGGACGCTGCTCAGAGCTCACAGACCTGGGTGCCCGGGCCCTGACGACTCACACAGGCCCGGAGCTGGGAGAGGATATGGTGCAGGGTGTGAAGGGGCTGGTCCAAGACATCCCCCAGGGCTGGGTCAGTGTCAGCGGTGGCCTCCAGAACCTTCAGCGTCAGGGCCAGCTCAGCCTCCAAAGCCACGGGGCGCTCCCTCACCTGAGGAGAGGTGAGAAAGAGCAGGTGAGGGGGGAGGTGAGGGGAACAGGTTGGGGGAGGAGGATAGAGAGGAACAAGTGAAGGTGACAGGCACAGGGGAGAGGGCACAGCCAGTGTGGTCAGGTAGGAGCAGAGGGAAGGGGTAGCAGGTGTGGGGAGAGGAGAGAGGGACAATGGAGAAGGAGAAGGTGAAGGGGCCACTACAGAGCCAGGTGAGCAGGGCTGGGAGGGCAGGGGTGGGCCTGACTCCCCCTCTCACCTGCAGCTGCCTCAGGTCCCAGGTCCTGGGGAAGAGGCGGGAGCGGCACTTGCAGTCCTTCAGCAGAAGCGACTCTTCCTAGACAGCAAAGGCACAGGTTAGCCCCAGCAGGAGGGGTGGAGGTTAGACCACTCTGATGGGATTGGAGGATGGCTGACAACAGGATAGGGGAGGTTAACTGCTGGGAGGATGGTAGAGGACCCTCTTCTTCAGGAAAACATGAGTCAGTCCCTGCAGTAGGAGCATGAGATAGCCCACTGCAGGGAGGGTGGAGGCTAGCCCAGTGAAGGAAGCTGGGAGTGGGAAAGCATGGTGACCCTTGGAGTGCGGGTGGAGGCTAGTCCATGGCAGGAGGGCAGGGGGAGACTCACTAAGGCATCTTTGGCCCTCTTAAAGGCCTGCAGCTCCTGTGGAGACAGGGACTTGAACTGGGCTATGTGGCAGCCCCTTGCATCCGGGAGAGCCCCGCGGAGCCTGGCGACAGGAACTGCTCCAGTCACGGTCAGCACTGCGGCCATCAGCACCAGCACTGGCATGCAGTCCCCGGTCATGTCTGTGTCACAGAGAGAAAGGGAGCTGAGGGAATGCAGAGGCTGCCCACTGAGGGCAGGGGCTGCAGGAGCTGAGCACGGACAGAGATGTGGGACTCACCTAGTTTCATTCCTGATCTCTGGTCTTTGTCAGCAGAAGAAACACTCTGAGGCTGTCACCCAGGGTCTGTTTGGGTCTTGTCTGGAGTCTCTGTTCTTTTCAGTCCCCTCTTCTGGATCTCAGACTGTGTCCTGGCTTTGACTCTTTCTGTCAGTTTTGAGCTCTGTCTGGGATGTAATTCCTGCCTGAGCTCCATGGGGCAGCTTTTATCCCTGACAGAAGGGCAGTCCCAGCTGATGTAGGAAAAGTGAAAACACAGCCTCAGGTAAGACACCGGCCACCAGGGGAGCCCCAGGCTGGGAAAGCCCAGAGCAGGGCAGGGCTAGTGAGCCAGATGAGCAGCTGGAGGGAAAGAGAAACTGATGGAGACTCAGGGGTAACCTACAGGAAGGTATGTTCCCAAGAGGATTCCACCTGCTCTGGTTTTGTTGTTGTTTAAGACAGGGTCTCACTCTGTCACTGCAGTGCAATGGCATGATCACAGCTCACTGCAGCCTCAAACTCCTGGGCTCAAGCCATCCTCCTCACCCAGCCTATTAAAGTGCTGAGATTACAGGCCTGAGCCACCACTCCTGGCATATATATATATATATATATATATATATTTTGAGACAGGGTCTTGTTCGGTCACCCAGGCTGGAGTGCAGTGCAAAATCTTGGCTAACTGCAACCTCCGCCTCCTGGGTTCAAGCAATTCTCTTGCCTTAGCCTCCCAAGTAGCTGAGATTACAGATTTGTGCCACCATTCCCAGCTAATTTTTATATTTTTAGTAGAGATGGCGTTTCACCATGTTGGCAAGGCTGGTCTCAAATTCCTGATGTCAAGTCATCTCTCTGTCTAGGCCTCCCAAATTGCTGGGATTTCAGTGTGAGCCACCATGCCCAGAGGCCAATATTTCTTAATTGCCCAGGCAAGGAAGGACTCAGGAATATGAGGCTCTGCTCAAGAATTGAGGTGTGACGAAGGACTTGAAGGACACCACGTGGGTGCCGTCTTTCTTAGGGAAGTTCAGGCAGTGGTGAAGAGCATGGGTCTTGGAGATGAAGGGTCTGGGGTTCAAACCTGGTTCTGACCCTCACTAGCCGTGTGACCTTGGCAAGGAGGGGTGCATTCAGCAACGCAGATTGCTAATGCACAGATTTGGAGAAAAAATTAATAACACAATTGTTTGTGTATTTATGTGAGTGATTATTTAATAGAATCCACTCATTAAGACCATACTAGGACCTCAGCTGGAGAGTTTAAAACGTGATCTCAACGGACACTACTCCTCCACAAGGCAAGTATGCTAACCCATCCTATAGGTGAGGAAACAGAGGCTCAGAAAAGTAATTTGCCCTGAATTCCACTGTAATTAACTGGCAGGGTCAGAACTGAAACTCAGGCCACCTGAGTCCCTGGCTCGGCCTCTTTTTTTGCTGTAAGGTGCACCTCACAATCATCATACGGAAAACAACCAATGCGATCAAAACACTCTTTGATAACTGGCAATAAATTTAAACCGGGAGACAGAATAGCAAATGCACAGGAACTTCACAAATACAAACACACGTAAGGGAATCCAAAGAACCACAGTCGGTTAAGGACCCTTGGGCCTTTCACTACCAAATCCCTCATGGATTGGTGTCCCTTAGATGCCGGATCCAAGAGTCACGGATTCACAGAATCTCAAAGCTGGCTGTGGGGCTACAAATCCGGGGTTAGGACCTGGTGTTGGGGGTGTCCTGGTAACCACACAAGGAGGAACTGGTCCCTGTTGCCTGGGGTCAGCCACGGTTTCCAGAGCTCAAGTTTTTTCCTGCCACAGCAACCGTTGGAGGGTCGTACAATGCACCCCGAGGAAATATCGTGGCTTCCTGGAGAACTGTGGTCTCTTCCCTGTAGAAGGACCCGCTCCTCTTATATCTGAGACAGTGGATCCAAGTCAGGCCCAAGGCTGCGAAGAAGTTTTCGTGCCTCAGCACCCATTGACTGAGAGCCTCGCCCGGCCAGCCCAATGGACGACAGGAGCTGCTTTCGGCAGCCAATGGCGTGGAGGTTTCCGTGCTGCCAGAGGGGGCGGGGTCAGAGGCAAGGCCCAGAGTGTGCAGCCAGCCGGAGCTCCCACGTGAGCAGGCGCAGGAGGTTGAAGACCACGCTGGCTTTGCGGCACCGAGGCGAGTCCTGGAGCCAGGGAGGGAGGGCAGCGGGGCTAAGCCAGGCTCTTCCCCCCGCCCCCGGAATCCCCCTCCAGTCCCGCTGCTCGCAGCCTCAGTCCCGTCCTTGTCAGCCTCGCCTGGTCCTCCCTGCGGGCTAACCCTGTATTGCCTGTTGCACTCACCGCTCTCCGGGGTTTGTGACGCCTCTTCTGGGCCCCGGGGACCTTCCTGGAGGAGCCTGGCCGTGCCAGCTCAAGCTGGAGGTGGGACATGAGGCAAATGGAAAAGGCGAAGGACGAAGCCCCTCTCTGCATCTGCCCGTGGCCCTCCCAGCCGCAGACTCGAGCCCGGATTTCAGGACACCCAGAGGACCCGACTCCGGTCTGGATGGGTTTTTCCGCTAAGCAGGACAGATTGGCAAAGCGCTGGGGCTCGCCGTGGGCCTGAGGATGCAGAGAAGCTGGCGGGGGAGAGGGGCGGCGGGGCGCGGCCGTCACTCACGCAGGCCGCCACATCCCTCCCCGCGGCCGCCAGCAGCTCCAGGATCGGGCCGGCGCCGGGGAGCAGCTCCGAGCGGTGCAGGCCGCTGAGCACTGCCTGGGCGTCCGCGATGCCCCGGGCCACGTGGCGGAGCCGAGCGCAGGACTGCGGGGACGAGAGGGCGTTAGAGCGGGCCGCGCCCGGGCCATGCCTCTCCCGCCCACTCCCGGGCCTCACCGATGGCCGCGGAGGATCCCTCCTGGGGCGGAAGGAGCAGTTGCGCTGCCCCCAGCTCAGCGCCTCTTCCTCCTGCGGGACAAGCGGCGCTTATCGCATACGGCTAGGCCCCCTCGCCAGGGCCCCTAACCTCTGCACAGTCTGGGATTCCTGGACGTGGATGGGTACTGGCAGCGCACGGTCGTGCCTGTCGTGTACTGAACCAGGGAGCTCCCCGAAGGCGCGAACCAGGGTTGAATTGCACTCCGCGCTCCCCCAGCAAAGCCCCTCGCCCCGACCTGGAGCCGAGTCCTCCCGGCAGGGCTCCCTTCTGTGATTGACCCTGAGCCTGCGTTCGCGCTGACGACGGGGACTGCGGGGGTCTCGTGGTGGGAATTGTGGGCGCTGACATAGGAGAGGCGCCTGCTGGGCGCTAGGACGCAGGACCCCTTGGGACAGGAACGGGTGTATGGGAACCCGGTGGGGCCAGGGTCCCAGGGGGCACAGGGGCTGGGCGGTGACTTACGTAGCGGTCCCTCAGCGCCTTGGCAGCCGCCAGCGTCCGGGGCTCCAGCGAGCGGTAGTGCGAGAGCAGGCAGCGCCGGGGGGCCGCTGCGATCACCGTGCACAGGACCCACAGCCCCGCGGCCACTGCGGCCCAGACACTCGGCCGCATCTCTGCTTCTGCAGCAGGCGAGAGACGTCAGGGAAGCCAAAGAGAGGGTCCAGCGCGTCCAGCCCCCCGCCTTGGGTTAGGATCCCAGGGAAGGCAATGCTCGGAGCGTGAAGGCACAGCACACACAGTGGGAGAGAGAGTGGGAGCCGGCCCCCTCCTCGCCTTGGCCTCTGCCCTCACTCCTGTCTGCAGTGCACCCTCTGTGCCTCGTGCTGCAGCAGGTGCTGCCGTCCACTGTCCCCTGGGAGGCGTCCAGAGCCGTCTCCACCTGGGCAACAGTGCCTCGACGGTCCATGCTGGCTTTTATGCGCAGGGCTGAGAATGGGGTTTGCAGCCGGGCTTTCCCGTCCAGGGCAAGCTTTCCCAACATCAGAGCTGGCCCCAGGCCTCTGGGATCCCAGTCGGGTGTGAGGACTTCAACCCGAGGTTGGCCTGTGCCCGGGATGGCTGCCCTCCAACACTCGGTTTCCAAATTGTCTCTGTCCCTGTTTCTACTGTCTGTTTCCTCTTTCTTTGCTTCACCCTGGTTGTCTTTATCTTCGTTCTGCAATCACAACCAGCCCTTGTGTAGTGTTGACTGTGCATCAGGCTCTCTTCTATGTAATTGACACAGACATATCATCTCATTTTTGTACCAGGGCAGCCCTGGAGGTGTAGCTGAGAAAGAGAACGCTTAATTTATTTTATTTTATTTTATTTTATTTCAGAGACAGAGTCTTGCTTTGTTGCCCAGCCTGTAGTAGTGGTGCAGTCACAGCTCACTTCAGACTCAACCTCCCAGGCTCAAGCAATCCTCCCACCTCATTCTCCATAGTAGCTGGGACTACCGGTGGGTGCCACCACCATTTTTTGTAGCAACCTGGTTTCGCCATGTTGCCCAGGTTGGTCTCTAACGCCTGAGCTCAAGACATCTGCCCGCCTCAGCCTCCCAAAATTCTTGGATTACAGGCATGATCCATTGCACCTGGCCTCATTATTTTCTTAAACCGTTTTTTTCTAGTCTCTTTATCTATGGGTGCATTGATTAAAAGAACTGCAGATGCCCGAAAGGCCACACGAGCTTCAGGACGCTTCCTTTGCTTATTACTGGAGGAAGAAAAGGCTGGGGCAAAACAAGTGCAAACCAGACACAGTGACCCACGGTTACCTTTAGATCATTAATATATAATTATCATGGTAAACTCCCTACCCATGGAGGAAAATACGCTCACCATTTGCTGAACATACATCATATGAAGAGGCATGCTTATGATCTGCACCTGCGTCTGGAGTTGCTCTCTGCGCATGCTTACATACCTCCCCACCCCACAGCTAACTCCTTAAAATTTCCCAGCTCCCCACAGCTGGGCGATAAGGTGTTTTTTGTTTTTTGTTTTTTTTGAGATGGAGTTTCACCCTTGTTGCCCAAGCTGGAGTGCAGTGGCGTGATCTCGGCTCACTGCAACCTCCACCTCCCGGGTTCAAGCAATTCTCCTGTCTCAGCCTCCTGAGTAGCTGGGATTACAGGCACATGCCACCATGCCTGGCTAGTTTTTTGTAGTTTTAGTAGAGATGGGGTTTCACCATGTTGGCCAAGCTGGCCTCAAACTCCTGACTTCAGGTGATCCGCCCGCCTTGGCCTCCCAAAGTGCTGGGATTACAGGCATGAGCTCGCCCAGCAATAAGGTGTCTTTAGAGCAAGAGTTCTCTCCTTCCCCATCCTAGCTAGGAATAAAACCTGCTTGCCTTTTTGTTTCCAATTGGGTGTTCTTTCTTTGCAACCAATGCAGAGTAGGGAAAGAACTGCATTTACAGGTGACAATTTCATTGTCAAAAATGACACAAGCCCGGGTACAGTGGCTCAGGCCTGTAATCCCAGCATGTTGGGAGGCTGAGGAGGGAGGATTGTTTGAGCCCAGGAGTTCGAGACCAGCCTGGGCAATATAGTGAGACCCTGTCTCTACAAAAAGTAAGGGATTTAAAAATTAGCTGGGCATGGTGGTGTTACTGGAAAAGCATCCTGATCCAGACCCCAAGAGAGGGTTCTTAGATCTTGTGCAAGAAAGAATTTGGGGCGAGTCCACAGTGCAAAGCAAAAGCAAGTTTATTTTAAAAAGTAAAGTGGTGGCTGGGTGCAGTGGCTCACACCTGTAATCCCAGCACTTTGGGAGGCCGAGGCAGGTGGATCACTTGAGGTCAGGAGTTCAATACCAGCCTGACCAACATGGCAAAACCCTGTCTCTACTAGAAATACAAAAAAATTAGCCGGGTGTGGTGGTGCACACCTGTAGTTCCAGCTACTTGGAAGGCTGAGGCAGGAGAATTGCAGTGAGCCAAGGTTGCGCCACTGCACTCCAGCCTGGGTGACAGAGCGAGAAAAAAATAAGCAAAGTGGCGAAGGAATAGCTACTCCATAGACAGAGTAGGGTGTTCCTGAAAATAAGAGGAGGAATGGGCCCACCCTAGGTACAATGCTTGTTTATAACAAAAAATATCATGGGGAGATGTGCTCTGCTACCAGGGTTTGTGACAAAGGATTAAATTTCTTAATTATCATATTTTGCAAAAACCGATATTACTATCTTTAAAGCAAAACGAGGAATGCTTCTGATGAAGAATGCTTCTGTTCTCAAGATACCGAGATTTCAGGACATTCCTGAGCCTGAGTCTCTTTAGTAAATGTTATCAATCTGTTCCATTAACAGTAAACATCTAGAGGCTAGGAATGCCTAACTTCCTGGAAATGCAGCTCAGCAGGTCCCAGCCTCCTTTTTCCTAGCCCTCACTCAAGATGGAGTCGCTCTGGTTCAAATGCCTCTGACAGTGGCACACACCTGTAGTCCCAGCTACTCATGGGGCTGAGATGAAAGGATCCCTTGAGTCTGGGAGGTTGAGGCTGCAGTGAGCTGTGATTGTGCCACGGCACTCCAGCCTGGGCGACAGAGTGAGAGACTGTCTCAAAAAAAAAAAAAAAAAAAAAGACACAAACCAGGCACAGTCGCTCATGCCTGTAATCCCAGCACTTTGGGAGGCCGAGGTGGGCAGATCACCTGAGGTCAGGAGTTCGAGAGCAGCCTGACCAACATGGAGAAACCCCATCTCTACTAAAAATACAAAATTAGCCAGGCATGGTAGTGCATGCCTTTAATCCCAGCTATTCGGGAGGCTGAGGCAGGAGAATCACTTGAACCCGGGAGGCGGAGGTTGCAGTGAGCCGAGATCACGCCATTGCACTCCAGCCTGGGCAACAAAAGTGAAACTCCGTCTCAAAAAAAAAAAAAGACACAAAAGGGAGGTTCTATTACCTTATTTTACAGATGGAAAACTGAGGCCCAGGAAAGTAAAGGAACTGTTCCAAGATACACAGCTAATAAATGGCAGAGGTGGGGTTTGAACCCACACACTCTGCAGTTTCAAAGCTTGTTCTCTATGCCATAACTGCCCTTATCTTTTTCAGCGTCTCCTCCTGTGTCTTGCTTTCTCTTTCTCTCTCTCTCTCTGTTCCTGTCTCTGTCTCTGGCGTGACTCCATCTTTCTTATTCATTTTTCCAACAAGCATCCTGCCCCAGGTCGCTCTGTCTGTCTCAATCAATCTCTTTTTGTTTAAACATAAAATCTACTTCTTTTTCTGATAAAATTAGCCATGCATGTTCAGTGGATAAAGCTTGAAAAATACACAAAAACATAAAAGAAAAAAAACATCACCTATAACTTCACCATCCTCCTCTCATCCCTCATCCCACTTCTGGAACAAATCGTCCCAATACATAGGAATTTTCCATGTGTTTATTTGTGCATATGTTTTCTGACTACCAAAGTAACACTTGTTCCTTGTAAAAGATTCCATCCATACAAAAACATACAACATGGAGAGTTAAAGTAAGTCTTGTATTTCACCTCCTGGAGGTAAATATTTTTTAACAATTTGTCACTGTTCCTCCTTTTGTTTTCCTTTCTGTGAGCAATTTCACCCAAATTGGAACCATGCTGTATACAGTTTGGTAGCTGGCTTTTTATGTCTTACCATTATCTCTCATTTGCATTCTCCCACATCTTTAATTATAGCGTATCAGTTAGGGCCCAGCAGGAAACAGATGGCCCGTCAATTTAGGATAATTTGAGGTGGGGTTGATACCAGAAGCCTTTATAAAGCGATTGGATAGTAAAGGCAAATGACAAGAGCTAGTGCAAGCTCCTGGGGCCAGCATGGGTGAGGGGCCTCATCCACAGGCCTAAAGGAAGGGGAGAGGGTTGAGGGTGTGCATGTGGTTGCCTGACTTGGGGAGGAGAGAGTCACTTAGATTTGTGGAGGAAACAGATGAATTGTGGTGGCCCAGCACAGGGAGGAGCCCTGGGGAAAAAACACCTGACCTCCTCTCCCCTCTACCTGGGGCCCAGAGTAGGTTGGAGAAGCAGGGACAGTAGATAAGGAGGGGCAAACGGAAGACATCCCCCACCCCCACACCACTATTAGAGCTTCCATTCCAGCAGGATCATTTAATAACCAACCCCTGATTGGTAGGGTGGCAGGTTTTTCATTTCCTCAACAGTGTCTTTTGCAGAGCAGAGGTTGCTTTTTGTTTTTGTTTTTTTGGACATGGTCTCAGTCTGTAGCCCAAGCTGGAGCATAGTAGTGGCACAATCGCCACTCACTGCAGCCTCCATCACCCAGGCTCAAGCCATCCTCCCACCCCAGCCTCACAAGTAGCTGGGGCGCCAGCTACCTGTAGTAGGCACGTGCCACCAGGCCCAGCTAACTTTTCTTTTTTTCCCCAGAGATGCAGTCTCACTTTGTTGGCCAGGCTGGTATGTTTCCATTCCAACATTCTTGAGATGACAAAATTATAGAAATGGAGAGCAGATTAGTGGTTGACAGAGGTTAAGGAAGGGGTCGGATGGGAGAGGAGTGGACGTGGCTACTGAAAGGGCAACACAAGGGATCTTGTGGTATGGAGTGTTTTGTATCTTGTCTGTATCAATGTGATATGGTTAGGCTTTGGGTGCCCACCTAAATCTCATCTTGAATTGTAATCCCCAGGTGTTGAGGGACAGACCTGGTGGGAAGTGATTGGATCTGATCATGGGGGTGGTTCCCCCATGCTGTCCTTGTGATAGTGAGTGAGTTCTCACGAGATCTGATGGTGTTTTAAGTATTTGGAAGTTCCTCCTTCTTTCACTGTCTCTCTCTCCTGCCACCATGTAAGAGGTGCCTGCTTTCCCTTCCATCATAATTGTAAATTTCCTGAGGCCTCCCCAACCATGCAGAACTGCGAGTCAATTAAACCTCTTTCCTTTATAAATTACCCAGTCTCAGGTAGCATCTTCATAGCAGTATAAGAATGGACTAATACACAATGTCAATATTCTCTATGTGATATAATACCATGGTTTTCGCAAGATGTTACCATTGGGGGAAACTGGGTAAAGGGTACACAGTAACTCTTTGCATTCTTTTTTTTTTTTTTTTTTTTGCACGTTTCATTTGTTTATTGATTTCCGCCTGATTACTCCAGAAGGTAATTACTTAAGATGCTTAAGATGGGTGGGGGGGTGATTTCAGCATCGCCCACCTTCACCTGTGGGAAGACCTCCGAGCATGTACAGTAAGACACACAGTCATATCTTGGGGAGCTCTCTGCAGGTGAACTGCAGGCCCCCAGCCCCATGCTGGGTAAAGTAATGAAGCAACAGCCGCTTTCCTAAGCCCGAGTGACCCAAGCTACTTCTGCGCAGGTTGTGAAACAGGGTTTAGGTTTCTCCCCTCTTGGACAAGAGGCCAGGGGTCTGCCCCATCAGCCTGCTTTCCTGGTGGGTCACGGACCATCATCACCTGGCTGGTCTGGAAGGGTTTAACCACAGCGGATCATGTGGCGACCAGAGCCGGGGCAGCTGTCAAGGGCAGCCTCCATTTCCATTCTGTCTCGTAAGCAGCCTGGGAGATGTGGGCCTAAGCTTTGGTGAGGATGAGAGTCTGTCTTGAAATTGGGCCCCACAGGGGTGAGTCCAGAGGCAGGACCGGGAAGGAAAGGTCGAAGGTCGGGCGTAACATCATTCAAAGACCAGCCACGCCCAGACCACACCCCTGAGATGCCTTATCAGGTGAGCAGGAGGCTAAGTCAGCCGACAGTGTGGCCACACAGCCCAAGCCTGTCCTAGCAGAAGGCAGGAACCATCAGCAAATAAGTGACTTTTCCAAGAAACAAGATCTTGTTCAGAGCTGCGGCCTTGGGAGCCTTGATGTTTCAGCCATTGTGCCCTGCCTTCCTGTCTCAATGTCCAGGTCTCGAATTCCATGGTAGAATGGCCAGTGTGTGGCCTTAGTGCCGTGGCCATCTGGGGTCGGTGTGGGCTGCCCGCCTAGTGCGCCTGGGAAGCAGAAGTTTCTTTGCCTTTAGGGACAAACTTCAGCGAGCTGCTGAATATTCATTCAGAATCGGGACTGCCGCAGCTTGGGGCCATCGTTCAGGAACTTGTGGCTCAACGTGTTGCCACACTTGCACGAGACACCTTCAAGACTTCAGGATGATTGTGCTCTGGGCGCTTGGCCACGCTGTCAGAACGGATGGTCTTGGTGAACACCGGCCAGGGGAATGAGTATGTGTACTTTGAGCGGCTGGGAAACAGCTCATAGCCACACTTGGCACACATATAGACGCCTGGCTCAAAGTGATTCTGGAAAACCTTGCCCCCGAAGAAGCTGCAGAATGACATGGCGCCGCCAGGACCACTGTGCACTTGCCCCCTCCAACAGACCCAAGGCCGCTGACCCCATGACCACTGGGACCCGCGCCCACCTCCCTGCACCTCCCAAGAACCTATCTCTTTGCATTATTTCTTACAATTGCACGTGAATCCACAATTATGTCAAAGTAAAAACTCTAATTAAAGCAATCATACAGACATATTTCCTTGGGAAATATGATTTCCTAAATCATGATTTCCTAAATATGATTTAGGAATATGATTCCTAAATATGATTTCCTAAATATGATTTCCTAAATATGATTTCCTAAATCATACAGACATATTTCCTTGGGAGCTATACATGCATTATGCAAATATATAAAATATGGATAATATATAAAATGTTTAGAAATGTATAAAAAAGTGTGCAAGGATATGTCCCAAACTGATTAATAGTGAGTTATTTATCACTGGAGAGAGCATGGGAACTGAGGAGATGATCACTGGAATATTTAAATGTATTAGCAATATTTTAATTTCTTTTTTTTTTTTTTTTTTTTTGAGACGGAGTCTTGCTCTGTCGTTCAGGCTGCCGTGCAGCGGCATGATCTTCGCTCACCGCAACCTCCGCCTCCCAGGTTCAAGCGATTATCCTGCCTCAGCCTCCCAAGTAGCTGGGATTACAGGTGTCTGTAAAAATTAGCCACCACACCTGGCTAATTTTTGTATTTTTAGTACAGATGGGGTTTCACCACGTTGGCCAGGCTGGTCTCGAACTCCTGACCTCAGGCAATCTGCCTGCCTCAGCCTCCCAAAGCACTGGGATTACAGGCATGAGCCACTGCGCCTGGCCGTATTTTAATTTCTTACAAGGAGAATGAATTCTGCCTAACTAAACAGTAAAACAAACAAACTCACTGGATATGAGGGAAATGGTAGCTCACTGCTTCTTCAGTTGCTGGTCGGGTAGATCATTTGTGAGACTTTCTTAAAAAGTACATTAATCCAATTTCTAGAGCTTCTCTTTTTGTTTTTTTGAGACAGAGTCTCGCTGTGTCACCCAGGATGGAACTCAGTGGTGAAATCTCAGCTTACTGCATCCCAGGTACAAGCAATCCTGCTACCTCAGCCTCCCAAGTAGCTAGGATTACAGGCACCCACCATCACACCTAGCTAATTTTTGTGTTTTTAGCAGAGACGGGGTTTCGCCATGTTGGCCAGGCTGGCCTGGCACTCCTGACCTCAAGTGATCCACCCACCTTGGCCTCCCAAAGTGCTGGGATTACAGGTGTGAGAGTCCCTGCACCAGGAGAGACTGGCCTCTAGAGCTTCTGATAATGGCTTTGTAAAACGTTGTCCTTATCCTCTGCCACTTTGCTGCTGTGTGGGTGTTCACTGACCCCTCCTGATCTGCACCTCTGAGGCTTGCCTGCCCTCTTGCTTATGGTTGGTGTTTAGCCAGTGGAGGTGCTGGCAGGAGATTGAGGGAGGGCAGAGAGCAAGGTGGGGGTGTTTATTCTCCTATTTGCTGGCTGCCCCCTGCAAGTCTGGAGTTAGACAGTGGCCGTGATCCTCTATCTACAGCCACAGTCTTTGTCCTGTCATGCCTAGGAGTGCTAACAGCTCCCCCTGTTACTTGCCTCTGGGTGCACCACCACCTCTTGTGTCTTCCTTAACCCTGCCCACTTTTCCCGTGCTTAAATGTTCAAGTAGGTCATCTACTTCCTGAAGATTTCTATTTTTTTTCCCCTGAGTTTTCTTAATAGAAATGTTTGAGACTGAGGTCATTAAAGACTCACATGCTGCTATAAGCAAAAATTCAGGCTAGGCTTGGTGGCTCATGCCTATGATCCCAACAATTTGGGAGGCCAAGGCAGGAGGATTGTTTGAGTCCAGGAGTTCAAGACCAGCCTGGGCAACATAGCAAGAGCCCATCTCCACACACAAGATATAAAAATTAGCTGGGTGTGGTGGCACCCACCTGTAGTTTCAACTACTCAGGGGCCTGAGGTGGGAGGATCACTTGAGCCTGGGAGGTGGAGGCTGCAGTGAGCCGTGATGGTGCCACTGCACTCCAGCATGGTGACAGAGCGAGACCCTGTCTCAAAAAGAAAAAGAAAGAAAGAAATATTAGAGATTCTGTGCACCCTTTATCCAGTTTCCCCCAATGGTAATATCTTACAAAATGCTAGTCCAATACCGCAGCCGGATATTGACATTAATACAGTCCACCCATCTTATTCAAATATCCCCAGTTTTACTTGCATTGAGTGTGTTTGTGTATTCTTGTGTGTGTGTTTAGTCATACAGTTTACTGTATACAATTTAGTTATATAATTTCATCACATGCTTAGGTTCATGTATGCATCACCACAGTAAAGACAGAAGAGTTCCATCACCATGAATATCCTTGGGGCCATGCCATCTTTTTTTTTTTTTTTTTTTTTGAGACAGAGTCTTGCTCTGTCGCCAGGCTGGAGTGCAGTGGCGAGATCTCAGCTCACTGCAACCTCCACCTCTCAGGTTCACACCATGCTCCTGCCTCAGCCTCCAGAGTAGCTGGGACTACAGATGCCCGCCGCCACGCCTGGCTAATTTTTGGTATTTTTTTTTTAGTAGAGACGGGGTTTCACCGTGTTAGCCAGGATTGCCTTGATCTCCTGACCTCGTGATCTGCCTGCCTCGGCCTCCCAAAGTGCTGGGATTACAGGCGTGAGCCACCGCACCTGGCCCTTTTTTATAACCACACCCACCTTCCTCCCTCCACCATCTTTCCCTAACTCCTTGAAACAACTAATTTATTCTCCACTTTCAAATTTTTCTCATTTGAAAAATGTTATATAGCCCAGGTGCAGTGGCTCATGCCTGTAGTCCCAGCACTTTGGAAGGCTGAGGTGGGAGGATCACTTAGAGCCCAGGAATTTGAGACCAGCCTGGACAATATAGGGCAACCCTGTCTCTACAAAAAATACAAAAATTAGCCAGGCACGGTGGCATGTTGTAGAGTCTAGCCCCAATGGCCTGTGGGTTTTTTCTTTGTGTGCAGAGACGAGAGATTGTAGGAAAATAAAAACACGAGACAAAGAGATAGAAGGAAAGACAACTGGGCCCAGGGGACCACTGCCACCAATGTGCGGAGTCTGGTAGTGGCCTCAAATGCCTGGACGCACTGCTATTTATTGTATACAAGGCAAGGAGGCAGGGTAAGGAGTATGAGTCATGTCAAGTGATTGATAAGGTCACGTGAGTCACGTGTCCACATGACAGGGGGCCTTTCCCTTTGTGGTAGCTGAGGCGGAGAGGGAGGACAGCATACGTCAGCATTTTTTCTATGCACTTATCAGAAAGATCAAAGACTTTAATACTTTCACTAATTCTGTTACTGTTATCTTCTAAGAACTCAAAAAGAGGAGCCAGGTGTACAGGCGGAACATGAAAGTGGACAAGGAGCGTGACCGTTGAAGCACAGCACCATGGGGAGACGTTTAAGCCTCCAGATGACTGCGGGCAGGCCTGGCTAATGTCAGGCCTCCCACAAGAGCTGGTGGAGCAGAGTGTTCTCTAACTCCCCCAGGGAAAGGGAGACTCCCTTTCCCGGTCTGCTAAGTAACGGGTGCTCTCCCAGGCACTGGCGCTACCGCTAGACCAAGGAGCCCTCAAACGGCCTTTATCCGGGCGTGACAGAGGGCTCACACTCTTGTCTTTTGGTCACCTCTCACAGTGTCCCTTTAGCCCTGACTCTGTACGGCCTGTTTTCTCCTAGGTTATAATTATAAAACAGAAATTACTATAATAATAAAACAAAGAGTAATACTACAAACTAATGATTGATAATATTCATATATAATCATATCTATATCCTATTTCTAGTATAACTTTTCTTATTATAATTATTTTCTTTATTATACTGGAACAGCTTGTGCCTTCAGCCTCTTGCCTCGGCACCTGGATGGCTTGCCGCCCACAGCATGTGCCTGTGGTCTCAGCTACTCTGGAGGCTGAAGTGAGAGGATTGCTTGAGCCCAGGAGGTCAAGGCTGAAGTGAGCCATGATTTTGCAACTGCACTCCAGCCTAGGTGACAGGGCAAGACTCTCAACTTTAAAAAATGTGTGTGTGTGTGTGTGTGTGTGTGTGTGTGTGTGTGTGTGTGTATGATAATGAAGTAGTATGTAACCTTCTGGGATGGGCTTTTTTCACTCAGCATAATTCTCTGGATATTCATCCAAGTTGTTGCATGTATCAATAGTTCATTCCTATTTGATGGTATATATTTGCCAGAATTTGTGTAATCATGCACCTTTTGGAGGACAACTGGGCTTTGTAGTTTGGGCTATTACAAATAAAGTTGCTGTGATCATTTGCAAAGCAAATAACTATGTTATTGCATGGACATAGGTTTCCATTTCTCTGGAATAAATATCCAGGCATACCATTCTGGGCCAACTAGGAGTTGCATATTTAGTTTTACAGGAAACTACTGAACTGTGTTTCAGAATGGCTGCACCATTTTTCCATTCCCACCAGCAATGTATGAGTGATCCAGTTCCTAGATCATTTTTGAGTTATACTCACAAATAAATGTTCTCCAAAGCTTTTTATTATTTCTTAAATTCCTGAAGTAGTGTTTCTAACAGACTAGGGGTCTCAAGCAGTGGATCACAAGACACATTTCTATTGGGACAGCATTAAATTGAATTTTTTATTGCACATAACCTGCTCTGTGGTGGTCAGAGCTGGATCACTGATTGTCAATAATTTGCATCTGGCGCTTTCCTCCAACCAATCTATGACACTCCGTTCTTTCTGCCATTACTAATTTTCCTTCTAGTTCTTCAGTCTTTGGACATATATAATTTTATTTCGGCCTCATGGTATCTATCAGTTAGGACACTTTTGGTTGTAAATAACCAAAAACTCAACTCATGCTGGCTTGAACACTGGAGAATTTTTGAGCTTACAAAACTGAGAAGCCTAGGGTTAGTGGTGAGGCTTCAGGTTAAGTTTGATCTAGCAGCTTAAGACATGAGTAACCTCCCAGTTGGTTAGTTGTCTGTTTGTTTGTTTGTTTGTTTTTTGAGATGGAGTCTCACTCAGTCACACAGGCTGGAGTGCAGTGGCATGATCTCGGCTCACTGCAACCTCCGCCTCTAGGGTTCAAGCAACTCTCCTGCCTCAGCTCCCTGAGTAGCTGGGGTTACAGGTGCACATCACCATGCCTGGCTAATTTTTGTATTTTTAGTAGAGACGGGGTTTCACCATGTTGGCCAGGCCTGTCTCGAACTCCTAACCTCAGGTGATCTGCCTGCCTCGGCCCCAAAGTTCTGAGGTTACAGGCATGAGCCACGGCACCCAGCCTCAGTTTGTTTGCTTGTTTGTTTTTAAATATTTCAGGTCTCCCTTATGCTGATGAGAAGCCTGTTTACTCTTGTAAATCCAACATGGGTCTAGCAGCATCCCAGGCTTCAGGCTTCAGGTTTTATTTTTCTTCAGTAGATAAAAAAAAAAAACAAAAAAACAGCATCTTTTTCCCAAGATGTTCAGGACCGAAGATCATTCTGATTGAACTGGATTAGGTCACATGCCCACCACAAACCCAATCACTGTGGCTAAGAAGACAAACTGATGTAAATGGCTACAGCCAGATCACATACCCCATCCCAGGGATGGGGAGGGGGCTAAATCATCTTCCCAAAACTATTTAGCTCCCCAACTGAAATGGGGGATCTCAGGAAAGACTGGGGAGAGGTGATAGAAGCTTGGAAATTATATTCCATGGACACTTTTTGAAATCTTTTTTTTTTTTTTTTTTTTGAGACAGGGTCTCTCTCTGCCACCCAGGCTGGAGTGCAGTGGCACAATCTCGGCTCACTGCAACCTCCCCATCCCTGGATCAGGCAGTTCTCCTGCCTCAGTCCCCTGAGTAGCTGGGATTACAGGTACGTGCCACCTGACCAGCTAATTTTTTTATTTTTAGTAGAGACGGGGTTTCACCATGTTGGCCAGGCTTTGCTGGTTCTTAAAACCTCTATGCCTTTGAATAGGAAAATATGCACTGGCAAACCATAAAATAATTTTCTCATACTCATGCTGAGGAAGACATATAACCATGAAAAACAGTCACTACTTACCCATAATTATCAATATTTATATAAACCTAATTAGAATTAATTAAAAGTGGTCTCAAGTAGGAAGCGTGCCTGACTTACTCAAAACATACCTAGGGCTGGGTGCAGTGGCTCACACTTGTAATCCCAACACTTTGGGAGGCCAAGGCAGGAGGATCGCTTGAGGCCAAGAGTTTGGACCAGCCTGGGCAACATACTGAGATCCTGTCTCTACAAAAAATTTAAACACTAGCTGGCATGGTGGTGCATGCCTATAGTCTCAGCTACGTGGGAGGATCGCTTGAGCCCAGGAGGTTGAGGCTACAGTGAGCTGTGATCATACCACTGCACTCCAGCCTGGGAACAGAGCGAGACTGTATCTCAAAAACAAACAAAAAACATATGTAGGCTATTCTGTATGGGATAGATCAGTCATACAGATGAGAGATGGCAGAGTATTGCCAATAATAACCCAGGGAGCCTGGGATCAAATCCCCATTTCACACCTACAAGCTGTGTGAGCTCGTGTTTCATTCATAACCTCTCTGTGCCACCGTTCTTTCTTCTACAAAATGTCAGCCAATAACCAGTCAACTACCTAACAGTTGCTGGGGAGAAAAAAAAAAAAACAGATATTTACATGAGAAGAGCTTAGAATGGAGCCAGGAAGTGCTGAGTATATATTAGCTATATATATATATATATACACACACAAAACAGTAGTTGAGAAAAACATGTCTGTAATTCCAATTTTCAACAGCAAACTAACAATACTTTATTAAGTGGTAAACAAATAAATATTATATTCATATAACAATATGAAAGCCAGAGATAGCTCGTCTGAGACACAGATGAACAAAAACCAGAGAGAGGGGGCCAGGTGCAGTGGCCCACACCTGTAATCCCAGTGCTTTGAGAGGCCAAGGTGGGATGACAGCTCGAGGCCAGGAATTTAAGACCAGCCTGGGCAACAGAGTGAGACCCCCATCTCTACAAAAAAAAAAATAGAAGAATTATCTGGGCATGGTGGTGGGTGCCTGCAGCTCCAGCTGCTTAGGGACTACTTAAAGCTGAAGCAGGAAGATCCTTGGAGCCCACAGGATTGAGGTTACAGTGAACTGTCATCTCACCACCACACTCCAGGCTGGGCCCAGAGACAGTGAAGCCCTGTCTCTAAAAAAGAAGAAAGAAAAGAAAAGACAAACAAACAAACAAACAAAAAAAAAAACAGAAGAGAAGGGGGAGTATTCAGGGTGTAAACCAAAATTAAAATTCTAAGGCCCCCCGCAACCATCTGAATGGATCCTGTCCTCTCCGCCAAGGGCATTCCAAAGTTAACCTGAAAAACCAGTTCGGGCCATAATTGCAAGGGGGAGTGGGACGTGCCTCATCATAGCCTCCTGCTTTTTGGAATTACTGATAGAAGAGAACTTTAAGTCTGATTTTTTTTAAAATTACAATCTATTTTCTCTGAAGCCTGCTATCTGGAGGCTTCATCTGCACACACACTCAATGTAAGTAAAACAGGATATCTGAATAAGATAGGTGGATTGTGTCAATATCAATATGCTGGTTGTGGTATTGGACTGGAGGTTTGTAAGATGTTAGTTACCATTAGGAGAAACTGGGTAAAGGGTGCACAAGATCTCTGCATTTTCTTCCCTTCCTTCCTTCCTTCCTTCCTTCCTTGGTCTCCACAACCCCTTATGGTAACCCAGACCTTCCTTTCTATTGATAATAACTCAACCAATTGCCCATCAGAAACTCTTTGAATCCCCCTATGACTTGGAAGCACACCCTGGCTTCCACTTGTCCTGCCTTTCTGGATGGAACTAATGTACATCTTACGTGCATTGGTTGATGCCTTATGTCTCCCTAAAGTGTATAAAATCAAGTTGTGGGCCAGGAGCGGTGGCTCACGCCTGTAATCCCAGCACTTTGGGAGGCTGAGGCGGGCGGATCACCTGAGGTCAGGAGCTCAACACCAGCCTGGCCAACATGGCAAAACCCCATCTCTACTAAAAAGGCAAAAGTTAGCTGGGCATGGTGGTGCACGCCTGTAGTCCCAACTACTTGGGAGGCTGAGGCAGAAGAATCACTTGAACCTGGGAGGTTGCGGTTGCAGTGAGACAAGTTCGTGCCAGTGCACTCAAGCCTGGGCAATAGAGCGCGACTCCGTGTCAAAAAAAAAAAAAAAAAGTTGTGGCCGGACAACCTTGGGCACATGGTTCTCAGGATCTCCTGGGGGCTGTGTCACAGGCCATTGGTCACTCATATTTGGCTCAGGATAAATCTCTTCAAGTGTTTTTTAGAGTGTGACTCTTCTCATTCATTGACAAGGGAAAGAAAGATACAAAGACAGGGACAGACAAACAGAAATGTAATGAGAAAGCAGAGAAAGATGAAGGAGACAGCATGGGAAAGCCAGTTGTGAACACCCGATGGCAGGCATTTAAATGATTTGGTAGCTCTGCCAAGCCTGTAGCTTCAAAGAAAAGGAAAAAGTGTCTCGGTTCATTCCTAGAGTACAGAAGACAGATCAGACAGAGGCAAAGAGAGACAAACAGATGTCCAGAAAACAGACACAGGCAGTTGGCTCAGGATAGAGAGTTGGAGGCCAGCCGTCCCTGGCATAGGCCCACCGTGGGTTAAAGTCCTCACACCCCGACTGGGATCCCAGAGGGCTGGGGCCAGCAGTGACGTTCCGAAATCTTGTCCAGGACGGGGACCGGCTGCAAACCCTCTCAGCCCTGCACATAAAAGCCAGCATGGTCCGTCGAGGCACTGTTGCCCAGGTGGAGACTGCTCCGGACGCCCCCCAGGGGACAGTGGCCGGCAGCACCTGCTGCAGCACGAGGCACAGAGGGTGCACTGCAGGGAGAAGTGAGGGCAGAGGCCAAGGCGAGGAGGGGGCCGGCTCCCGCTCTCTCTCCCTCTGTGTGTGCTGCGCCTCCCCTGTGAGCCTAACCCAAGGCAGGGGACTGGACGCGTGGGACCCTCTCTTTGGCCTCCCTGACGTCCCTCAGGAGCAGAGATGCGACCGAGTGTGTGGGCCGCGGTGGCCGCGGGACTGTGGGTCGTGTGCACGGTGGGCGCGGCGATCCGCCAGCGCTGCCTGCTCTCGCACTACCGCTCGCTGGAGCCCCGGACGCTGGCGGCGGTCAAGGCGCTGAGGAACCGCTAAGTGAGTGACCGCCCAGCCCTTGCGCCCCCCGGTACACTGGCCCCGCCGGGTTCCCACACACCCGTCGCTGACCCGAGGGGTCCTGCGTCCTAGCGCCCAGCAGGCGCCTCTTGTACGTCAGAGCCCACAGTTCCCACCACGAGATCCCCGCAGTCCCCGTCGTCAGCGCGAACGCAGGCTCAGGGTCAGTCACAAAAGGAGCCCTGCAGGGCGGACTCGGCTCCAGGTCGCGGGCGCAGGGCTATGCCGGGGGAGAGCGGGATGCAATTCAACCCTGGTTCACGCCTTCGGGGAGCTCCCTGGTTCAGTACACGACAGGCACGACCGTACGCTGCCAGTACCCATCCACGTCCAGGAATCCCAGACTGTGCAGAGGTTAGGGGCCCTGGCGAGGGGGCCCAGTCGTATGCGATAAGCGCCGCTTGTCCCGCAGGCGGAAGAGGCGCTGAGTTGGAGGTCGCGCAACTGCTCCGTCCGCCCCAGGAGGGATCCTCCGCGGCCATCGGTGAGGCCCAGAAGCGGACGGGAGAGGCATGGCCTGGGCGCTGCCCCCTCTAACGCCCTCTAGTCCCCGCAGTCCTGCGCTCGGCTCCGCCACGTGGCCAGGAGCATCGCGGACGCCCAGGCAGTGCTCAGCGGCCTGCACCGCCTGGAGCTGCTTCCCGGCGCCAGCCGGATCCTGGAGCCCCTGGCAGCCGCGGGGAGGGACGTGGCGGCCTGCGTGAGTGACGGCCGCGCCCCGCCGCCCCTCGCCCCCGCCAGCTTCTCTGCATCCTCAGGCCCATGGCGAGCCCCAGCGCTTTGCCAATCTGTCCTGCTTAGCGGAAAAACCGATCCAGACCCAGGTCGGGTCCTCTGGGTGTCCTCAAATCCGGGCTCGGGTCTGCGGCTGGGAGGGCCTCGGGCAGATGCAGAGAGGGGCTCCGTCCTTCGCCTTTTCCATTTGCCTCGCGTCCCACCTCCAGCTGGCACGGCCAGGCTCCTCCAGGAAGGTCCCCGGGGCCCAGAGGAGGCGTCACAAACCGCGGAGAGCTGTGAGTGCAGCAGGCAGTACAGGGTTAGCCTGCACGGAGGACCGAGTGAGGTTGACACGGACAGCACTGAGGCTGGGAGCGGCGGGATTGGAGAGGTCTTCTCGGGAGGGAAGAGCCTGGCTTAGCCCCGCTGCCCTCCCTCCCTGGCTCCAGGACTCCCCTCGGTGTCGCGAAGCCAGCGTGATCTTCAACCTCCTGCGCCTGCTCACGTGGGAGCTCCGGCTGGCTGCACACTCAGGGCCTTGCCTCTGACCCCGCCCCCTCCGGCAGCACGGAAACCTCCACGCCATTGGCTGCCGAAAGAGGTCCCTGTCGCCCATTGGGCCGGCCAGGCGAGGATCTCAGCCAGTGGGTGCTGAGGCACGAGAACTTCTTCGCAGCCTTGGGCCTGACTTGGATCCACTGTCTCAGATATAAGAGGAGCGGGTCCTTCTACAGGGAAGAGACCACAGTTCTCCAGGAAGCCACGATATTTCCTCGGGGTGCATTGTACGACCCTCCAACGGTTGCTATGGCAGGAAAAAACTTGAGCTCTGGAAACCGTGGCTGACCCCAGGCAACAGGGACCAGTTCCTCCTTGTGTGGTTACCAGGACACCCCCAACACCAGGTCCTAACCCCGGATTTGTAGCCCCACAGCCAGCTTTGAGATTCTGTGAATCCGTGACTCTTGGATCCGGCATCTAAGGGACACCAATCCATGAGGGATTTGGTAGTGAAAGGCCCAAGGGTCCTTAACCGACTGTGGTTCTTTGGATTCCCTTACGTGTGTTTGTATTTGTGAAGTTCCTGTGCATTTGCTATTCTGTCTCCCGGTTTAAATTTATTGCCAGTTATCAAAGAGTGTTTTGATCGCATTGGTTGTTTTCCGTATGATGATTGTGAGGTGCACCTTACAGCAAAAAAAGAGGCCGAGCCAGGGACTCAGGTGGCCTGAGGTTCAGTTCTGACCCTGCCAGTTAATTACAGTGGAATTCAGGGCAAATTACTTTTCTGAGCCTCTGTTTCCTCACCTATAGGATGGGTTAGCATACTTGCCTTGTGGAGGAGTAGTGTCCGTTGAGATCACGTTTTAAACTCTCCAACTGAGGTCCTAGTATGGTCTTAATGAGTGGATTCTATTAAATAATCACTCACATAAATACACAAACAATTGTGTTATTAATTTTTTCTCCAAATCTGTGCATTAGCAATCTGCGTTGCTGAATGCACCCCTCCTTGCCAAGGTCACACGGCTAGTGAGGGTCAGAACCAGGTTTGAACCCCAGACCCTTCATCTCCAAGACCCATGCTCTTCACCACTGCCTGAACTTCCCTAAGAAAGACGGCACCCACGTGGTGTCCTTCAAGTCCTTCGTCACACCTCAGTTCTTGAGCAGAGCCTCATATTCCTGAGTCCTTCCTTGCCTGGGCAATTAAGAAATATTGGCCTTGGCTGGGCTCAGAGGCTCATGCCTGTAATCCCAGCACTTTGGGAGGACGAGGAAGGTGGATCATGAGGTCAGGAGTTCAAGACTAGCCTGGCCAGCATGGTGAAACCCTGTCTCTACTAAAAATACAGAAATTAGCTGGGCATGGTGGCACATGCCTGTAATCCAAGCTACTCAAGAGGCTGAGGCAGGAGAATCACTTGAACCCAGGAGGCAGAGGTTGCAGTGAGCTGAGATGGTGCCTCTGCACTCCAGCCTGGGCAACAGAGCGAGACTCCATCTCTCTTGCTCACTCACTCTCTCTCATGCTCTCTCTCTCTCTCTCTCTCTCTCTCTCTCTCTATATATATATATATATATATATATACACACACATATATGCCTCTGGCCGGGCGCGGTGGCTCACGCCTATAATCCCAGAACTTTGGGAGGCCGAAGAAGGCAGATCACGAGGTCAGGAGTTCAAGACCAACCTGGCCAATATGGCAAAACCCCGTCTCTACTAAAAATACAAAAATTAGTTGGGCGTGGTGGTGCATGCCTATAGTCCTTTCTACTCGGGAGGCTGAAGCAGAAGAATCCCTTGAACCAAGGAGGTGGAGGTTGCAGTGAGTCGAGATCACGCTGCTGCACTCCAGCCTGGGCTACAGAGCAAGACTCCATCTCAAAAAAAAAAGAAAAAAGAAAGAAAGAAAGAAATCATGGCCTCTGGGCACAGTGGCTCATGCCTGCAACCCCAGCAATTTGGGAGGCCAAGACAGACAGATCACTTGACGTCAAGAGTTCGAGACCAGCCTGGCCAATTGGTGAACTGTCATCTCTACTAAAACCATAAAAATTAGCTGGGAATGGTGGCACAAATCTGTAATCTCAGCTACTTGGGAGGCTAAGGCAAGAGAATCGCTTGAACCCAGGAGGTGGAGGTTGCAGTTAGTCAAGATTTTGCACTGCACTCCAGCCTGGGTGACCGAACAAGACCCTGTCTCAAAATATATATATATATATATGCCAGGAGGGGTGGCTCAGGCCTGTAATCTCAGCACTTTAATAGGCTGGGTGAGGAGGATGGCTTGAGCCCAGGAGTTTGAGGCTGCAGTGAGCTGTGATCATGCCATTGCACTCCAGTGACAGAGTGAGACCCTGTCTTAAACAACAACAAAACCAGAGCAGGTGGAATCCTCCTGGGAACATACCTTCCTGTAGGTTACCCCTGAGTCTCCATCAGTTTCTCTTTCCCTCCAGCTGCTCATCTGGCTCACTAGCCCTGCCCTGCTCTGGGCTTTCCCAGCCTGGGGCTCCCCTGGTGGCCGGTGTCTTACCTGAGGCTGTGTTTTCACTTTTCCTACATCAGCTGGGACTGCCCTTCTGTCAGGGATAAAAGCTGCCCCATGGAGCTCAGGCAGGAATTACATCCCAGACAGAGCTCAAAACTGACAGAAAGAGTCAAAGCCAGGACACAGTCTGAGATCCAGAAGAGGGGACTGAAAAGAACAGAGACTCCAGACAAGACCCAAACAGACCCTGGGTGACAGCCTCAGAGTGTTTCTTCTGCTGACAAAGACCAGAGATCAGGAATGAAACTAGGTGAGTCCCACATCTCTGTCCGTGCTCAGCTCCTGCAGCCCCTGCCCTCAGTGGGCAGCCTCTCCATCCCCTCAGCTCCCTTTCTCTCTGTGACACAGACATGACTGGGGACTGCACGCCAGTGCTGGTGCTGATGGCCGCAGTGCTGACCGTGACTGGAGCAGTTCCTGTCGCCAGGCTCCACGGGGCTCTCCCGGATGCAAGGGGCTGCCACATAGCCCAGTTCAAGTCCCTGTCTCCACAGGAGCTGCAGGCCTTTAAGAGGGCCAAAGATGCCTTAGTGAGTCTCCCCCTGCCCTCCTGCCATGGACTAGCCTCCACCCCCACTCCAAGCGTCACCATGCTTTCCCACTCCCAGCTTCCTTCACTGGGCTAGCCTCCACCCTCCCTGCAGTGGGCTATCTCATGCTCCTACTGTAGGGACTGACTCATGTTTTCCTGTAGAAGAGGGTCCTCTACCATCCTCCCAGCAGTTAACCTCCCCTATCCTGTTGTCAGCCATCCTCCAATCCCACCAGGATGGTCTAACCTCCACCCCTCCTGCTGGGGCTAACCTGTGCCTTTGCTGTCTAGGAAGAGTCGCTTCTGCTGAAGGACTGCAGGTGCCACTCCCGCCTCTTCCCCAGGACCTGGGACCTGAGGCAGCTGCAGGTGAGAGGGGGAGTCAGGCCCACCCCTGCTCTCCCAGCCCCACTCACCTGGCTCTGTAGTGGCCCCTTCACCGTCTCTTTCTCCCTTGTCTCTCTCTCTTCTCCTCACACCTGCTCTCCCTTCCCTCCGCTCCCACCTGACCACACTGGCTGTGCCCTCTCCCCTGTGCCTGTCACCTTCACTTGTTCCTCTCTATCCTGCTCCCCAACCTGTTCCCCTCACCTCCCCCCTCACCTGCTCTTTCTCACCTCTCCTCAGGTGAGGGAGCGCCCCATGGCTTTGGAGGCTGAGCTGGCCCTGACGCTGAAGGTTCTGGAGGCCACCGCTGACACTGACCCAGCCCTGGTGGACGTCTTGGACCAGCCCCTTCACACCCTGCACCATATCCTCTCCCAGTTCCGGGCCTGTGTGAGTCGTTGGGGCCTGGGCACCCAGGTCTGTGAGCTCTGAGCAGCGTCCTTCCCCTTGCCAAGGCCCCGGCTCACACACCGCCCTCCTCTGCCCACAGATCCAGCCTCAGCCCACGGCAGGGCCCAGGACCCGGGGCCGCCTCCACCATTGGCTGTACCGGCTCCAGGAGGCCCCAAAAAAGGTGAGTGACCCGGGAAGAGAGGGACTGAGGTCTGGGGAGCCACTGGGAGCCCAGAACCCAGACAGCCCCTGACCCATCCCCTCCTCCCTACAGGAGTCCCCTGGCTGCCTCGAGGCCTCTGTCACCTTCAACCTCTTCCGCCTCCTCACGCGAGACCTGAATTGTGTTGCCAGTGGGGACCTGTGTGTCTGACCCTCCCACCAGTCATGCAACCTGAGATTTTATTTATAAATTAGCCACTTGTCTTAATTTATTGCCACCCAGTCGCTATTTATGTATTTGTGTGTGTAAATCCAACTCACCTCCAGGAAAATGTTTATTTTTCTACTTTTTATAACCCTTGTTGAAATAAACAAAGGAAAAGACACTCATGACGTTGGACTGTGTGTCTGTTGGTGTGTATTTCCTTTGTGTTGCTGCCATAACAACGCTAAAAGTAGCATCTTCCAAAGACACACTTGATGAGCTGGGAGTCTGCAGGTCAGAGGCTCGCTGGCCCTGGCTGGTTTCTCTCCTGTGGGACTCACAGGCTAGAATCCAAGCATTGCTGCTGGGCTCTTACTGGGAGCTCTGAAGAGAAACTCTTTCCAGGGTCAGTCACATTGTTGGCAGATCACTGTTCCTTGCTGCTGTAGGACTAAGGTTCCTGCCCCCTCCTGGCTATGGGTCCATCCTGAGCTGACTCTGCTGAAGGGTTCTCCACTCCTCTCACTAAGCTAACCTCTACCCTCCCTGCAGTGGGCTATCTCATGCTCCTACTATAGGGGCTGATTCATGTCCTCCTGCAGTGGAGGGTCCTGTAACATCCTCCCGGGAGTTAACCTCCACTATCCTGTTGTCAGCCATCCTCTAATCTCACTGGAGTGGTCTAACCTCCACCCCTTCTACTGGGGGCTAACCTGTGCCCTTGCTCTCTAGGAAGAGTCGCTCCTGGGGATGGATGGCAGGTGCCGCTCCCGCTTCTTCCCCAGGACCTGAGATCTGAGGCATAATACATAACGTATTCTATCCCTCATGACAGTGGAAGACAGAATAATTTCACTGCCCTGAAAATTCACTGTCCTTCCCCATTCATGCTTATCTGGCTGTCTGTGGTCCCTACTAATAGGCCCTTCCAACTCAGAGCCAGGAACAGTGCTTCAAACCTTTCTCATGCTTGGAACCTCTCTGACCTCTCCTGCCATGTTGCTCTTGTACTTCCAGCTAGAGAAAGTCTTCCACGTTTCAGGGCTCAGGTGGTTAGTTTGGCATCCAGGGTGATCTCCCCATTGTCAATCCACATGCCATAATCGCATCTGCAAAGCTCCTTTGCCGAGTAACATAAGATATGCACAGGGTCCAGGGATGCGGTGCTGGGTGACTTTGGGGTGGCATCTTCGGCCTCCTACAGTGTGTGTATGATTGTGCTTCTGATTGTGCGTCATTGTAGTTATGGGATTGTGTGTGTGCCTGGTCTACCTGAGAGTGTATGAGGGATCATTTAGAATGCATTGTGCTATAAGTAAAGTAACAGAAGCTAGAAATGCCTTGGTAATAAGAACTTTCATCAGCATCCATGGTGAGACATCTAGAACAGCAGGTTCATTGAGGGCTGTGCTATCCACTGGAGTCCGCGGGCCACATGTCACTATCGAGCACCTGGAATATAGGTGGTGCAACCTCATTTTTTCAGTGAGTGTAAAACATACCCCAGAATTTGAAGATTTACTGTGGGAAAAAAATAATGTAAAACAGCTCGATTATAATTTACATATTCATTAGATGTTGAAATGATAGCACTTTGGATGTATTGGGTGAAATGAAGCATCTTTAAAATTAATTTAGAGCCTGGATGTGATTGCTCAAGCCTGTAATCACAGCACTTTGGGTGGCTGAGTTGGGAGGATCACTTGAGCCCAGACTAGCCTGGGCAACATAGCAAGATCCTGTCTCTATAAAAAATTAGAGAATTGGCTGGGTGTGGTGGCACAAGCCCATAATCCCAGCTACTGGCGGAAGCTGAGATGGGAGGACTGCTTGAGGTCAGGAGTTCACGACCAGCCTGAGCAACAGCAAGATCCTGTCTCTTGCGTGATCACATCTCACTGTAGCCTCAAACTCCTGGGCTCAAGTGATTCTCTCTCCTCGGCACCATCCTCCACCCTCTCCAGCCCCTCCCCGAACTGGGATTACAGGCTTGAGTCACCGGGTCCAGCCCATTCTCTTTCCAAGAAGCCCCTGAATTGTATAAGCAAGCATGAGGTCTCACTAACCCTGGATCGGCCCCCACAAATGAGGGGGACAACTTGGATCAGGGACCCCTGCTGAGTAGAGTTGGCTGAGCTGCTGGAACAAAGAGTCCCCCAAATACAGTGATCATGAATTACAAACCACAGAGTGTCATTCTCCACCAGCTCCTCCTCCCAAGGTGAGCGCTCCCCCTGGCAGGATGGCCCCACTCAGTCATCCAGGGGCCCTAGTTCCTGGCAGTTCTGTGCTCCACAGTCCCCGGGACAGGGCTCCCTCATCATCTTCACCCACCGGACCTCACGGCAGCCTTGAAAAGCCTACGGACCCTTCTCAGAAGGAAAGAACACGTGCAGGACAAAGGAATCCAACTCTGATTGTAATACAGTGATCAAAATATTTTTTCACACTGTGACATAGCAATTCATGTGCTTCTTCATGAATGCATTAAGTAAAAAATCACCTGTGGCAGCTTTAATAACCACTGTGACTTAGAAGCAGAGATGAGCATAAATGATATTTCAAGGTGCCTGCTGGAAGATAACGTGATAGGAAATGCCTGTGATTTCTTTTGGTAACAAAGTCACAAGTTCTGCTAACACTGTTGTGGTGTGTTGCTGCATTTGTAATGGATTCGTGCTAGATGCAAGACTGGTCCCCAGAGATGTTCCTGATTCTTGGACCTGGGAATATGTTATGTTCCATGGCACGAGGGACTCTGCAGATGTGAGTAAGTTAAGGGTTTGGGATGGGGGCGTTATCCTGGGTTGTCCACCTGGACCCAATGTCATCACGAAAGTCCTTCTAAGAAGGAGGCCGGGGTCAGCATCATTAGCGGAAGATGTAACCACAGAAGCAGGATGTTGGAGTGATGTCAGCAAGGGAACCGGGGTCAAGGGATGCTGGACACCCCCAGAGGCTGAGAAAGGAGAGAGATCTCCCCTGCTGCTTCCAGAAGGAACCCGCTCTGCTGACGCCTGAAGCCTCACGAGTGGGATAGAAAACACCAGTAGAAGAACCAGCTGGCCACCTGAGAATCTTGAGAAATTACAAATCACTGGCAATTGTTGGGGGGAGCGGCTGTTGTTTTGTTCTTTTTGGGGTTTCTTTTGCTTTTTTGAAACAAGGTCTCACTTCTGTGTGCAGTTTGGGCCAAAGTAGCTCCAGGACAGGTGTACGGGACAAAGAGTGGGTCATCAGTTCAATAAATAGCCAGCCCAGCCAGGTGTGGTGGTTCAAGCCTGTAATCCCAGCACTTTGGGAGGCCAAGGCAGGCAGATCGCTTGAGGTCAGGAGTTCAAGACCAGCCTGGCCAACATGGTGAAACCCTGTATCTACTAAAAATACAAAAATTAGCTGGGCATGGTGGCAAGAGCCTGTAATCCCAGCTACTCGGGAGGCTGAGGCAGGAGAATCACTTGAACCTGGGAAGCAGAGGTTGTAGTGAGCCGAGATAGTGCCACTGCACTCCAGCCTGGGTGATACAGAGAGACTCCATCTAAAATAAAATAATAAAAATAAATAAATAAAACTTGTACGAGGCCGGGGCAGTGGCTCACGCCTGTAATCTCAGCTATTTCCAAGGCTGAGGTGGGAGGATCACTTGAACCCAGGAGTTCTAGACCAGCCTGGGCAACATAGTGAGACTCTGTCTCTACCAAAAACAAAAATTAGCCAGGGGTGGTGGTGCACGCCTATAGTCCCAGCTGCTCAAGAGGCCGAGGCAAGAGGATCACTTGAGTCCAGGAGTTTCAGGCCACAGTGAGCTATGATCCTGCCTCTGACTCCAGCCTGAGCAACAGAATGAAATCCTGACTCTAAAACAAACAAAATACTAATGTATGCTACAACATAGGTGAACCTTGAAAACTCTGTGCTTGACCTCTGATTTGGGGGAAGAAAAAAAGAGCAAGAAAGGCCAGGCGTGGTGACTCACGTCTGTAATCCCAGCACTTTGGAAGGCCGAAGTGGGTGGATCACCTGAGGTCAGGAGTTCGAGACCAGCCTAGACAACATGGTGAAATCCCATCTTACTAAAAATACAAAAATTAGCCAGATGTGGTGACTCATGCCTGTAATCCCAGCTACTCAGGAGGCTGAGGCAGGAGAATCACTGGAACCCAGGTGGCGGAGGCTGCAGTGAACTGAGATTGCACCAGTGCACTCCAGTCTGGGTGACAGGGCAAGACTCCATCTCAAAAAAAAAAAAAAAAAAAAGCAATGAAATAAGTAAATAAATAAAAGAAAAAGAAAACACTATCCTGAGTGAAAGAAGCCAGGCACAAAAGACCACACATTATATGATTCAATTTATATGAACTATTCAGAATAGGTAAATTTGTAGAAGAAATTCACAGAAAGCTGGCCAGGCACAGTGGTTCACACCTATAATCCCAGCACTTTGGGAGGCCGAGACCGTCAGATCATTTGAGGCCAGAAGTTCAAGACCAGCCTAGCCAACATGGCGAAACCCCATCTCTACTAAAAATACAAAAACTAGCTGGACGTGGTGGCAGGTGCCTGTAATCCCAAATGCTCGGGAGGCTGAGGCAGGAGAATCTCTTGAACCTGGGAGGCGGAGGCTGCAGTGAGCCAAGATCACGCCACTAAACTCCAGCCTGGGCAACAGAGCAAGGCTCCATCTCAAATAATAATAATAATATAAAGAAAATGTTCAGCTGAATTAAATTTAAAGAAGTTCAGTTGAGTAATGAATCATTTGTGAATCGAGCAGCCCCCAGAGTCACAGAAGATTCAGACTCCAGCACGGTCTCGTGATCAGAACAAATTCATAGACAGAAAAAGCGAAGTGACGTATGGAAGTTGGAAGTTTTGTACAGAAACAGCTGGATAGGCTGCAGGCTGGCGTTTGCCTTATTTGAAAACAGTTCGAACACTTAGCAATCTATGAGTGGTTGAAGTATGGCCGCTGGGATTGGCCAACCCTCAGCTATTGTTATGGGCACATACTCCTAAATTAGGTTTTCAATCTTGTCTGCCTATTAAGCTAGGTTACAGTTCATCCACAAGGACTCAAATATAGAAGTACAGAGTCTCCTTCTCAGGCCATATTTAGTTTGCTTTAACAGCTTCATAATCTGCCTCTCTGCCCTCGCCGATCATCTGTGAACTTCCCAATGCCCTTGACTGCTCAAATTAGCCAGTGTGGACTCTATGCTAAGAGCCCTGACCTATGCAGCCAGGAATGGGCTCTTAATTCATGAAACAGCAGTGCAGGTTAAGCACAGTGGCTCACGCCTGCAGTCCCAGCACTTTGGGAGGCCACGGCAGGAGGATCACTTGAGCCCAGGAGTTTGAGAGCAGCCTGGGCAACATACTGAGACCTCATTTCTACAAAAAATATAAATAAAACTTTTTTAAAAAATAGCCAGGCATGGTGGCACCCACCTGTCATCCTAGCTACTCAGGAGGCTGAAGCGTGGAGGCTCGCTTGAGCCCAGGAGATAAGGCTGCAGTGAGCCATGATCATGCCACTACACTCCAGCCTTGGCAACAGAACAAGACCCTGTCTCAGAAAAAGAAAGAAAGGAACAGCAATGAGGCCAGTGTGATGGAGCTGCGAGGGGGAGGGTCCAGACCTCCAAGAGCTTTGTAAGGGAAGGCAGGGGTTGGATATTTTTTTCTAAGCAGAATGGGAGCCACAAGATGGTTTTGAATAGAGCGGGGATGTAATCTCTGACTGTAGGTGGGAAAGAGGGTGTGGGAGTGAGGGGTGACCAGGAGGAAGCTGCTGTGATCATCCAGGCAGGAGGTGACAGTAGACAGGTAGATGAGATGTATGGGGAGGGTGAGAAGTGCGTGAATTTGGAAACGCTTTGAAAATACAGCCAGTGGAACTTACTGATGAATTGAAAATGATGTGGTATTGTGTATGTGTGTGTGCACATGTGCATGCAGGCGTGAGAGAGAGAGAAGGATGGCCTGATGGTTACAATGAAGCCTCAATTTCATCAGTGGAAAAGGAGAACAATACTCACTGCCGAGGCTTGTTGTGGGGAATCTATATAATTGTGGGTGTAAAGCACTTAGCACATTTCATGAAATATAGTCACTGTCATCATTATTCATTACGAGATGTGTTCTAAGGTAAGCAGGTCTGTGCAAACCTACCCCCAAAGGCCAAGGGAGAAAGAGCCTGACAAATCCAGTTTCTTTTTTTTTCTTCTTCTTCTTCTTTTTTGAGACAGAATCTCCTGTTGCCCAGGCTGGAGTGCAGAGGTGCGATCTCAGCTCACTCTGCCTCCTGGGTTCAAGCAATTCTCCTGCCTCAGCCTCCCGAGTAGCTAGGATTACAGGCGCCCACCATGACGCCCGGCTAATTTTTGTATTTTTAGTAGAGATAGGGTTTTACCATGTTGGCCAATCTGGTCTCAAACTCCTGATCTCAGGTTATCCGCCCACCTTGGCTTCCCTGAGTGCCAGGATTAGAGGCGTCAGCCACCACGCCCGGCCGACAAATCCAATTTCTTAGAAGGAAACGTTTAAGAGGAATTCACAAACCGAAGCCATGTCTCAGGAGGCCCTAGGAAGACAGAGGGGATCCCCCACACAGTTATCCCACAAATGTAGGGCTTATACACTATAGGAAATTTGCCTCAAGGCAGGATTTATGGTAAGTATGTGTTTATGATAACATAAAGGTTATTTTGACCTAAGGGCAGGATTTTTGGTAAGTACATGAAAATAGAAATCTTAGAGGCATTCCCAGAACTGGAGTTAATCAGAAGTCAACATGGGCCTGAATCTCAGCACTTTGAGAGGCCGAGAATGGAGGATCGCTTGACCCCACAAGTACAAGACCAGTCTGGGCAACATAGTGAGACCCCGTCTCTACAAAAAAATTTAAAAATTAGCTGGGTGTGGTGGTGAAGGCCTGTAGTCCCAGCTACTCAGGAGGCTGAGGTGGGAGGATTGCTGGACCCTGGGAGGTCAAGATGCAGTGAGCCATGATCGTGCCACTGCACTGCAACCTGGGCAACAGAGCAAGACTCTGTCGCAAAACAAACAAATAAAAAAGAAGTCAAGATGGCAGATTAGCATCCAAGATGGAGTTACTTTAATCTCCCCTGGGTGTGTTTGTCATTGTTGTTGTTGTTTAAGACACAGTCTTGCTCTGTTGTCCAGGCTGGAGTGCAGTGGCATGATCTCAGCTCACTGCAACCTCCACCTCCTGGGTTCAAGCAATCTCCTACCTCAGCCTCCCGAGTAGCTGGGATTACAGGCACGTGCCACCATGCCCAGTTAATGTTTGTATTTTTGGTAAAGACAGGGTTTCACCACGTTGGCCAGGCTGGTCTCGAACTCCTGGGCTCAAATGATCCACCTGCCTCGGCCTCTCAAAGTGCTAGGATTGCAGCACCCAGCCCACTGGGTGTGTTTGAGACAAGTCAACCAAACCCATCGTGTTTCTTCTGGCAGCTCCCGCAAAACTGTACATGTGCCCCCTAAGATTCCAAGAAAGACCTCCACCATGCCCCAATTGCTTCAAAAACATCTGCCCCCAACTCGTTTGTGCTTTCACCACTGCTAGGAAATAGGGGTGACTCAGGGCGATTTCCTCTCCTTTCACCACTCTATGGGTTCTGAGGGTTTTCCGTCAGGGATCTCTTTCTAGAAGAATTCCAAGCTCTCTGCTCTAGCCTCCTTTCTGTTTCTCTTTCGAATTCAGTCTGTCCTCTGTCATCTCCTGACCACTGCGTATCTGAGCTTCCCCAGCCCTGCCCTGGCGGCACATTCCAATTTCAGGAGGTGTGTTTGCTTTTCTTTCTTCAGCTGGGATTAGCCAATCCAGTGGTTCATGGCCCTTGCTTGCTTCATAATCACCTAGGGAACTCAAAAGATGTCTGGCCTGCAATCCCAGAGATGTGATTGGTTTTAATCATTACATTCTATCAGTGATTCCTAAACTTTAAAGCGCATCGGAATCAGCTAGAGTCTTGCTAAACCGTAGAACCAACCTCATTGGCACCACCTTGGCAGAGTGTTAGAAATACTGAATCTCAGGCCCTAGCCCAGACCCACTAAATCAGAAATGTGCAGGTTAGGCTGGCACAGTGGCTCACACCTGTAATCCCAGAACTTTGGGAGGTGGGGTCAGGGAGATTGCTTAAGCCCAGGAGTTTGAGACCAACCTGGGCAACACGGTAAAGCCCCATCTCAATAAATAAATAAATAAACCATGTGTGGTCGAGTGCACCTGTGATCCTAGTTACTTGGGAGGCTGAGGCAGGAGGATCACCTGAGCCCAGGGAGGTCTAGTCTGCAGCAAGCAGTGATTGTGCTACTGCACTCCACCCTGGGTGACATAGTGAAAACCAGTCTCAAAAAAAAAAAAAAAAAAAAAACAGAAAAAAGAAAAGAAGTGTGCACTTTAACAATATTTCCAGGTAACTCTACACATGTGAAAGTTGAAGAAGCACTGGGCTCAACCCCTGACTGCTGTGCAGCTGGGGGTAGACCAGGTGGAGTGGGCCTGCCAGCTTGCCTTGCAGAACCTCAGATCCCACAGCCAGATCCCAACCCCACTGTAACCTCCATTTCCTACACAGCCTTCTCTGAACGCTCCTCCCACCTCTGCCTATGGAGCATCATAATAATAATAAATAATATTTTAATAACAAAATGGCAAAAGTTTATTTGGTGCATCTCCTATGCAAGGAATTAAATGAATTAAGTTAATTCATTTAATCCTTACTACCACCTTAGGATGTAGGTCTTACAATTAGTCCCACTTTACAGATGAGGACCCAGAGCATCAAGATGCATCCGGCCAGGCGCGGTGGCTCACGCCTGTAATCCCAGCACTTTGGGAGGCCATGGCGGGCAGATCACAAGATCAGGAGTTTGAGACCAGCCTGGCCAATATGGTGAAACCCCGTCTCTACTAAAAATACAAAAATTAGCCAGGCATGGTGGTGTGCATCTGTAGTCCCAGCTACTCGGAAGACTGAGGCAGAAGAATTGCTTAAACCTGGGAGGTGGAGGTTGCAGTGAGCCGAGATGGTGCCACTGCACTCCAGCCTGGGTGACAGAGTGAGGCTCTATCTCAAAAAAAAAAAAAAAAAAAAGAAGAAGAAGATGCATCCAGCCGGGCTCGGTGGCTCACAGGCAACATAGCCAGACCCTGTCTCTACAAAGGTAATAATACTAATAATAATAATCATAGGCAGGCACACCTGTAGTCCCAACTACTTGAGTGGCTGAGGCAGGAGAATCACTTGAGCCCAGGAAATGGAGGCTGCAGTGAGCTGTCATCACACCACTGCACTCCAGCCTGTGCAATAGAGCAAGACCCTATCTCAGAAAAATAAATAAAATATTATAGACTTACAAGAAGTTGCAAAAATACCACAGAAGCGTTTCCCATATCCCTCACCCAGCTTTTCCTAATAGTAACATCTTGCATAACTATAGTAATTCTCAAAACTAGGAACCTGACATTGTCACAATACTATTCACTCAACTACAGACTTTACCGGGATTTCACCAGTTTTTGCATGCACTCATTTCTTTCTGCATGTCTTTGTGTATAATTCAGTGACAGTTTATCACAGGTATAAATCCCATAATCAAAATACAGAATTGCTTCCTTACTACAAAGAAATGTACAAGTCACACCTTTACAGTCACATCCTCCCTCTCCTTCTCTTACCCTTGACAACCACTAATCTGTTCTCCAGCTTTGTAATTTTGTCATTTCAAGGATGTTATATAAATGGAATCACATAGCATGTCACTTTTTTTTTTTTTTTTGAGACAGAGTCTTGCTCTGTTGCCCAGGCTGGAGTGCCGTGGTGCAATCTCGGCTCACTGCAACCTCCACCTCCTGGGTTCAAGCGATTCTCCTCCCTCAGCCTCTCGAGTAGCTGGGGTTACAGGCACGTGCCACCACACCCGGCTAATTTTTTGTATTTTTAGAAGAGATGGGGTTTCACCATGTTGGCCAGGCTGGTCTCGAACTACTGACCTCGTGATCTGCCTGCCTAGGCCTCCCAAAGTGTTGGGATTACAGGTGTGAGCCACCACGCCCGGCCAGAATGTCACTTTTTGAGACCGACTTTTTTCCCCACTCAGTAAAACATGCTTAAAATCCATCCAGGTTGTGTGTATCAATAGTTGAATCCTATTAATTGCTGAAAGTAATTGTGGTTTTTGCATTGTTGAAATTTGTCATTTGATATTGGAATACATTCTTAAATAAATGTGGTTATGTTATACATCATTTTAATGTCCATTTCTTGCTTTATGTTTTTTTGCTCATGACATTACTTGCTGTTGATTTTATGTTTACTTTAGACTATGGAAATTATATTAGGCAGAAAGCAAATTCAGGCAATTTTCTTATTTGGGTTCAAAACGGGTTGTTAAGCAGCGGAGACAAATCGCAATATCAACAACACATTTGGCACGGGAACTGCTAATGAACGTACAGTGCAGTGGTGGTTCAAGAACTTTTGAAAAGGAGAAGTTTTGCCTTGAAGATGAGGAGCATAGTGGCCGCCGTAGGAAATTGACAACAACCAACTGAGAACAGTCATCGAAGCTGATTCTCTTACAACTACACAAGAAGTTGCCGAAGAACTCAACGTCGACCATGGACCATTCTATGGTTGTTCGGCATTTGAAGCAAATCGGAAAGGTGAAAAAGCTCCATAATGGCCAGGCGCAGTGGCTCACACCTGTAATCCCAGAACTTTGGGAGGCCGAGGCAGGCGGATCACCTGAGGTCAGGAGTCCGAGACCAGCCTAGCCAACACGGCAAAACCCTGTCTCTACTAAAAATACAAAAATTAGCTGGGTGTGGTGGTGGGTGCCTGTAATCCCAGCTACTCAGGAGGCCGAGGCAGGAGAATTGCTTGAACCTAGGAGGCGTAGGTTGCAGTGAACCGAGATCGCGCCGCTGCACTCCAGCCTGGGAGACAGGGCAAGACTCTGTCACAAAAAGAAAAAAAAAAAAAAACTCGGTAAGTAGGTGTCTCATGAGCTGAGCGAAAATTTTAAAAATCGTCATTTTGAAGTGTCATCTCTTATTCTATGCAACAGCAACGAACCATTTCTTAATCAGATTGTGACGTGAAATGAAAAGTGGATTTTATACAACAACCGGCAACGACCCGCTCAGTGGCTGGACTGAGAAGAAGTTCCAAAGCCCTTCCCAAAGCCAAACTTGCACCAAAGAAAGGTCATGGTCACTGTTTGGTGGTCTGCTGCCCGTCTGATCCACTACAGCGTTCGGAATCCTGACGAAACCATTACATCTGAGAAGTAGCCTCAGCAAATCCATGAAATGCACCAAAAACTGCAATGCCTGAAGCTGGCATCGGTCAACAGAACGGACCCAGTTCTCCACGACAACGCCTGACTGCATGTCACACAACCAATGCTTCAAAAGTTGAATGATTGGGCTATGAAGTTTTGCCTCATCCACCACATTCACTTGACCTCTCGCCAACCAACTACCACTTCTTCAAGCATCTCGACAACTTTTTGCAGAAAAAAATGCTTCCACAATCAGTAGGATGCAGAAAATGTTTCCCAAGAACTCGTCGAATCCCAAAGCACAATTTTTACGGTACAGGAATAAACAAACTTATTTCTCATTGGCAAAAATGTGTTGATTGTAATGTATCATATTCTGACTTATAATAAAGATGGGTTTGAGCCTAGTTATAATAGTTTTTAAAATTCACTGTCCAAAACTGCAATTACTTTTGTACCAACCTAATAATATTCTCTTGCATGGACGTGCCACACTAACCATTCACCTGTTGGAGGACATATGAGTTGTTTCCAGTTTGGGACTATCACAAATAAAGCTGCTATGAATATTTGTATCAGCTTTTTGTTTGGACATACATATTGATGTCTCTAGGATAAATGAGCAGGAGTGTGGTTGCTGAGTCATGTGGTAAGCACACACTTAAATTTTTAAGAAAGTGCCACTGTTTTCCAGAATGGCTGTATCATTTTACATTTTCACCAGTGGTGTGTGGAAGACTGGGTTTCTTCACGTCCTCAGCAGCATTTGGTCCTATTGGTATTACTGTTACTCATTCTAATAGGGGTGTACTGGTATCTCATCTTGGTTTTAATTCACATTTCTCTAATGGCTAGTGATATTGACATATTTTCATGTGTTTGTTTACTATCTGTGTATCCTCTTTGACTGTCTGTTCATGTCTTTTGCCCATTTCTATTGGATTTTTTCTTGTTTTTATGGATGAGTTTTGAGAATAATATATATTTTTTTCTAGCTACTATTCCTTGTTGAATACATGATTTGTAAATATTGTCTTCCAGCCAGTGTCTTGTTTTCTCATCCTTTAACAGGGCCTTTTGCAGAACAAAAGTTATTAATTTTAATAAAGTCCAATTGATCCTTTTTTTGTTTTAGAGACAGGATCTTGATAAAGCAATCCTACCACCTCAAGTTTCCAAGTAGCTAGGACTACAGGCATGTGCCACCATGCCCAGCTAATTTTTTTATTTTTGTAGAAACAGTCTCACTGGCTGGGCATGGTGGCTCACGCCTGTAATCCCAGAACTTTGGGAGGCAGAGGCAGGTAGATCATGAGGTCAGAAGATCAAGACCATCCTGGCCAACATGGTGAAACCCCGTCTCTAATAAAACACAAAAAATTAGCTGGGTGTGGTGGCACACGCCTGTAGTTCCAGCTACTCGGAAAGCTGAGGCAGGGGACTTGCCTGAACCTGGGAGGCAGAGGTTGCGGTGAGCCAAGATTGTACCACTGCACTCCAGCCTGATGACAGAGTGAGACTCCATCTCAAAAAAAAGAAACAGTCTCACTATGTTGCCCATGCTCGTCTTGAACTCCTGGACTCAAGCAATCCTCCCACCTTGTCCTTCCAAAGCGCTGGGATTACAGGCATGAGCTGCCTCACCTAGCCCCTTTTTGTTTTTTAAAGAATCATGCTGGTTGGGAGCGGTGGTTCATGCCTGTAATTCCAGCAATTTGGGAGGCTGAGGTGGGCAGATCACCTGACTCAGGAGTTTGAGACCAGCCTGGCCAACATGATGAAACCCTGCCTCTGCTAAAAATACAAAAATTAGCTGGGTGTGGTGGTATGTGGCTGTAATCCCAGCTGCTCAGAAGGCTGAGGCACAAGAGAATCGCTTGAACCCGGGAGGTTGCAGTGAGCCGAGATGGCGCCACTGCACTCTAGCCTGGGTGACAGAGTGAAACTCCATCTCAAAAAAACAAAACAAAAACAAAACAAAAAAAAAAATCATGCTTTTGGTATCAAGTCTAGGAACTCTTTGCCTAACCCTAAGTTATAAAGATTTTCTTCTATGTTCTGTTTTTAAAGTTTACAGTTTTACATTTTACATTAAGATCTATGATATATCCTGAGTTAATTTTCTTTTTTCTTTCTTTTTTATTTTTTTTGAGCAGATTGTCACTCTGTTGCCCAGGTTGGAATGAAGTGGCGTGATCTTGGCTCACTGCAACCTCGGCCTCCCAGATTCAAGTGATTCTCGTGCTTCAGCCTCCCAAGTAACTGGGACTATAGACCTCTGCCACCATGCCAGGATAATTTTTGTGTTTTTATTACAGATGGGGTTTTACCATGTTTGCCAGGCTGGTCTCAAACTCCTGACCTCAGGTGATCCACCTGCCTTGGCCTCCCAAAGTACTGGGATTACAGGCATGAGCCACTATGCCAGGTCCTGAGTTAATTTTTATATAAGGGGTGAGGTTTAGGCTGACATTCGTACTTTTCACTCTTGATGTCTCATTGCCCATTTGTTGAAAAGACTATCTTTTCTATATTGAGTTCTTTTGTACCTTGATCAAAATTCATTTGGGTATACTTATGTGGTTCTGTTTCTGGGTTCTCTTCTGTTTCATTGACCTATGTGTCTGTGCTTCCACTAATATCATACTGTCTTGATTATCATGGTCATATAATAATCTCAAAACCAGCAAGTGTGACTCCTCCTACCTTCTTCCTTTTAAATATTGTTTCAGCTATTCTAGTTCCTTTGCCTTTCTATATACATTTTAAGATAAGCTTGTCTATACAGACCAAAAAAAACTTGGAATTTTTATGGGAACTGCATTGAATTATAGATTACTTTGAAGAGAATTGACATCTTTACTATGTTGAGCATTCCAATCCATGAACATGGTATATCTGTCCCTTAATTTAGATAGGTTTTGATGTCTTTCATCCGGGTTTTACAGTTTTCAGCATACAAATCCTATTCATGTTTTGTTGGATTTATACCTAAGTATTTTTCAGTAATTGTAAGTGGAATTGTATTTTTAATTTTAGTTTCCAAATATTTATTGCTGGTATAAATAAATATAATTGATTTTCTGTGTTCATGTTGTATCTTGTGGCTTTGATCAACTCACTTATTAGTTCTAGGAGTTCTTGTAGTTTCCTGGGGCTTTATACATAATCATGCCATCTACAAATAAGGAGAGTTTTATTTCTTCCCTTCCAATCTCTGTGTATTTTATTTTATTTTTGCCTTATTGCACTGCCTAGGACTTCTGACACTATGTTAAATAAGAGTGATGAGACATCACACCCATTAGGATGGCTACAACAAAAACAGAAAATAACAAATGCTGACAAGGACATGGAGAAATTGGAACCCTTGTACACTGTTGGTGAGATGTAAAATGATACAGCCATTATGGAAAACAGTATGGCAGTTCCCCAAAAAATTAAAAATAGGATTACCATATGATCCAGCAATTCCACTTCTGTGTATATACCCAAAAGAATTGAAAGCAGGGACTCAAAGAGGTATTTGTACACCCATGTTCATAGCAGCATTATTTGCAATAACTAAAAGGTGAAAACATTCCAAGTGTCTATTGACTGATAAATGAATAAGACAAATGTGATATATACATGCAACAGAACATTATTCAGCCTTAAAAAAAGAAAGAAAGAATTCTGACCCATGCTACAATATGAATGAACCTTAAGGCCGTTATGCTAAGTGAAATAAGCCAGTCACAAAAGGACAAATATATGATTCTGCCTATATGAGGCATATAGAGTAGTCAAATTCATAGAAACAGTAATATAGCAGTTACCAGGGGCTTGGAGGAGAGGGGAATGGGAGTTATTGTTTGATAAGTAAAGACTTCCAGTTTTGCAAGATGAAAAGAGTTCTGGAGATAGATGGTACTGATGGTAGCACAACAATGTAATGTATTTAATGCCACTGAATTGTATACTTAAAAATGGTTATGATAGGCCAGGCACAGTGGCTAATGCCTGTAATCCCAGCACTTTGGGAGGCCAAGGTGGGCAAATCATCTGAGGTCAGGAGTTCAAAACCAGCTTGAGCAATATGATGAAACCCCGTCTCTACTAAAAATACAAAAATTTGCCAGGCATGGTGGCACGCACCTGTAATCCCAGCTACTCAGGAGGCTGAGACAGGAGAATCGCTTGAACCCAGAAGGCAGAGGTTGCAGTGAGCTGAGATCGCGCCATTGCACTCCAGCCTGGGCAACAAGAGCAAAACTCTGTCTCAAAAAAAAAATGGTTACGATAGTAAATTTTATATTATGTGTATTTCATCCCAATGAAAATAATGAAATAATGAGGGGTGAGAATGAGTATCCTTGCCATGCTTGTGATTTTTAGGAGGAAAAGCAACAAGTATTTCACCATTTTGAGGCTAGCTGAAGGTTTTTCATAAATTTTGTTATCAGGCTGAGAAAGTTTCCTTCAATTTCTAGTTTTCTGAAAGTTTTTTATATCAGGAATGGATGTTAGATTTTGTCAGATGCTTTTTATGCATGATTTTTCTTTTTTAGCCTGTTAATATGATGAATCCCATTGAGAAATTGCAAAATATTTGGCTAACCTTGCATTCCTGGAATAAATCCCACATAGTCATGAAGTATAATTTTTCTTTAATGTGAAACATCTTTATTTACTTTGGACCACCACTCTTCCAGTGAGATTAACTTTTCCACCTTTAACTGCAGTAAAAGATATATTAAGTTGGTGCAAAAGTAATTGCAGTTTTTGCCATTATTTTTAACGACAAAAACCACAATTACTTTTGCATCAACCTAATATAACGTAAAATTTGCCATTTTAACCACGTTTAAGTGTACAATTTAGTGGTATTAATTACATTCACAATGGTGTGCAGCCATCACCACTATGTGTTTTCAAATTTTTTTCAACACCCCAAACAGAAAACCTGTATGCATAAAGCAAATAACATCCCTTCCTCACTCAGCCCTAAGTAATTTCTAATTTCCTTTCTGCCTCTATGAATTTCCCTATTCTCGATATTTCCCATAAGTAGAATCATAAAATATTTGTCTTTTTTGTGTCTGGCTTACTTCACTTAGCCATAATGGTTTCAAGGATAATCGATATAGCAGCATGTATTAGAATTTCATTCTTTTTTATACATGAATAATATTTCATTGCATGTACATATCATATTTTGTTTATTCACTCATCTGTTCATGAACACATGGGTTGTTTCCATCTTTGTGAATAACAGTGTTGTGAATATAGGTCTATAAGTGTCTGCATGAGTCCTTGTTCAGTTCTTTTTTTTGACATGGAGTCTCACTCTGTTGCTGAGGCTGGAGTGCAGTGGCGCAATCTTGATTCACTGCAACTTCTGCCTCCCAGGTTCAAGCCATTCTCCTGCCTCAGCCTGCCGAGTAGCTGGGATTACAGGCATGCACCACCACGCCCTGCTAATTTTTGTATTTTTAGTAGAGATGGGGTTTCTCCGTGTTGGCCAGCCTGGTCTCGAACTTCTGACCTCAAATGATCTGCCCACCTTGGCCTCCCGAAGTCCTTGTTCAATTCATATGGCAACATATTTATTTTTACATATTTTTTATTGCTGTATAAGATTTGCTTTTTTTGTATGTACATTCATAAAAAATATTGGTCTAAACTGGGCACTGTGGCTCATGCCTGTAATCCTAGCACTTTAGGAGGCCAAGGCGGGAGGATCGCTTGAGCCCAGGTGTTCAAGAGTAGCCTGGGCAACATGGCGAAATTTTGTCTCTACAAAAAAATCCAGAAATTAGCCAGGCATGGTGGTGGGCACCTGTAGTCCCAGCTACCCAGGAGGCTGAGGTGGGAGGATCACCTGAGCCCAGGAGGTTGAGGCTGCAGCAAGCTGTGATCATGCCACTGCACCCAGCCTGGGTAAAAGAGTGAAACCTTGTCTCAAAAAAAAAAAAAAAGATAAGAAAAGAAAAGGAAAATACTGGTCTATAGCTTCTCTTTTTCTTTATTTGTTTTCATTCTGCCTTTGTCTGGTTTTGGAATCAGGATAATGCTGACTTTATAAAATGAAATGAAAAGTATTGCTTCCTCTTCTGTTTTCTGGAAGCGATACTAAAGAATTGGTATCAATTCTTCTTTAAATGTTTGCTAGATTTCTACAGTGAAAACATCTGGACACAAAGATTTCCTTCTTGGGAGCCTTTTAATTAGAGATCAAGTTTTTTAAATAGTTATAAGACTACTCATAATATCTATTTCATCTTAGGTGAGCTTTGGCCAAGCGATCCTCCCGCCTTGGCCTCCTAAAGTGCTAGGATTACAGCACTTTGCGGTCTTTGAGCAATTTGTCCATATTGTCTAAGTTGAGTTTATATGCATAGACTCATTCACAGTATTCCCTTATTATTCTTTTAACGTCCATGAGGTCTGTAGTGATAGTGGTCATTTGTGTCTTCTCTCTTTTCTCTTCTTCTGTCTTGCTAAAAGTTTATCAATTTTATTCATCTTTTCAAAGAACCAGCTTTTGATTTTATTGTCTTTATTGCTTTTCTGTTTTCTATGTAATTGATTTCTCCACCTCTTTATGATTTCTTTCCTTCTGCTTGATTTGAGTTTACTTAGCTTTTTCTAGTTTCTTGAGGGAATGCCTTGTTTAGTAATTTGAGACTTTTCCTTCATTTTTTTGTTTTTTTGAGACAGAGTCTCGCTCTGTCATCCAGGCTAGAGTGCAGTGGTGCCATCTCGGCTCACTGCAACCTCTGCCTTCCAGGTTCAAGCGATTTTTGTGCCTCAGCCTCCCAAGTAGCTGGGGTTACAAGTGTGCACCACCACACCTGGCTAATTTTTGTATTTTTAGTAGAGACAAGGTTTCACCATGTTGGCCAGGCTGGTCTTGAACTTCCATCAAATGATTCACCCACCTCAGCCTCCCAAAGTGCTGGGATTACAGGCTTGAGCCACCACATCTGGCCATTTCTTCATTTTTAATATAAGCATTAAGTGCTATAAACTTCTCTCTAAGACTGCTTTAGTTGTATCCCACAAGTTTTGGGGGAGGTTTCTTCCTGTTTTTTTTTTTTGAGACAGGGTCTCATTGTGTCACCCAGGCTGGAGTGCAGTGGTGCTATCACTGCTCACTGCAGCCTCAACCTCCTGGGCTCAAGTGATCCTCCCTCCTCAGCCTCCCAAGTAGCTGGAACTACAGGTGCACACCACCACACCCAGCTAATTTTTAAATTTTTTGTAGGACCGTGTCTCCCTATGTTGCCCAGGCTGGTCTTGAACTCCTGGGCTCAAATGATCCTCCTACTTCAGCCTCCCAAATTGTTGAGATTACAGGCATGAGCCACTATGTCCAACCACGAGTTTTTATATGTTGTATTTTTGTCCTCATTCATTTTGGCTATTTTTTTTTTTTTTTTTTTTGAGATGAAGTCTCACTCTATCGCCCAGGCTGGAGTGCAGTGGCACAATCTTGACTCACTGCAACCTTCACTTCCCAGGTTCGAGCAATTCTCCCTGCCTCTGGCTCCCAAGTAGCTGGGATTACAGATTCCTGCCACCACACCTGGCTAATTTTTTGTACTTTTAGTAGAGACAGGGTTTCGCCATGTTGGCCAGGGTGGTCTGGAACCCCTGACCTCAGGTGATCAGCCCTCCTCAGTCTCCCAAAGTGCTGCGATTACAGGCATGAGCCACCCTGCCCAGCCTAACTTTTGTATTTTTGATAGAGGTGAGGTTTCACCATGTTAGCCAGGCTGGTCTCAAACTCCTGACCTCAAGTGAGCCACCCACCTCAGCCTCCCAAATGCTGAGATTAAAGTGTGAGCCATCACGCCTGGCCTCCATCCATTTACTTTTAACCTACCTATGTCATTATATTTGAAATGAGTTTCCTGTAGACAGCATACAGTTTTTTAAAATATATTCTGCCAATCTCTGTATATAAACCATTTGCATTTAATGTAATTACAGATATATTAGAACTTAAGTCTCCCATCTTATTTTTCTTCTGTTCCTTCTGTTTTTTATTCTTGTTTCCTTTTCATTGCCCTCCTGTGGATTACTAAGCTTTTTTTTAGTGTTTCATTTAGCTTTATCTATAGTTTTTTTTTTTTTAGTATATCTCTTTATATAGTTTTTTAGTGGTTGCTCTGGAATTACAGTATATATATAACATCACAATGCAATAGTATTAATATTTTATCTCTTCAAATGGAATGTAGGAAACATCACAATTTAGGTCCCTTTATCCTCCCTGATTTATAAATATATAGGTATCTTTATTTTGTGGTGGGGGAACAAAGTCTCGCTCCATCACCCCATTTGGAGTGCAGTCACAGCTCACCGCAGCCTCATCTCCCTGTCTCAGGTGGTCCTCCCACCTCAGCCTCCCAAGCAGCTGGGACCATGGGACCACAAGCACCTGCCACCACGCCTGGCTAATTTTTGTATTTTTGGTAGAGATAGGGTTTCGCCATGTTGCCTAGGCTGGTCTCAAATTCCTGAGCTTAAACAATACACCCACCTTGGCTCCCCCAAGTGCTGAAATCATAGGCATGAGCCACCATGCCCGTCCCCACTTTCTTTCTGTTCATCCAGAACATCAGTGATGTGAGTGTTAAAACTTAATGTACTAAAGGTCCCTGGAGCTCTTTTCTTTTCTCTTTTTTTAGAGACAGGGTCTCACATTGTCCCCCAGGCTGGAGTGCAGTGGTGCGATATTGGCTTGCTTTAACCTCCACCTCCCTGGAGTTCTTTTCATTTTTAAAAATCTACTTTCTATCCTTTGTTCATACTTCAATCTATTTGCTACTTACTCTCTGTTGTTCAGAATGAGTAATTTCTATTGACCTATCTTCAAGTTTTCTGATTCTTTCTTCTGCCATCTCCATTCTGCTATTTGGCCCTTTCAGTGAGTTTTACTTCAGTTCTTGTATTTTTCAGTTCTTATATTTCTCTGTTCTAAAATTTCCACTCAATTCTTTATACCTTCTATTTCTTTGATGAAACTTTCTATTAAAAATTTTTGTGTCAGCCAGGTGCAGAGGCTCACTCCTGTAATCCCAGCACTTTGGGAGGCTGAAGTGAGTGGATCACGAGGTCAGGAGATCGAGACCATCTTGGCTAACACGGTGAAACCCCGTCTCTACTACTAAAAATACAAAAAATTAGCCAGGCGTGGTGGCAGGTGCCTGTAGTCCCAGCTACTCAGGAGGCTGAGGCAGGAGAATGGCATGAACACGGGAGGTGGAGCTTGCAGCCACTGCACTCCAGCCTGGGCGACAGAGCAAGACTCTGTCTCAAAAAAAAAAAAAAATTGTGTCAAAAGTATTCATGATTGTTTGTTGAAGCATTTTTATGACAATTACTTTAAAATTATTGTCAGAGAGCCAGGCATGGTGGCTTACACCTGTAATCCCAGCTACTCGGAAAGCCAAAGAGGGACGATTATTTGAGGCCAGGAGTTTGAGGCCAGCCTGAGCAACAAAGTGAGATTTCACCCATATCTTAAAAAGCAAATAAATAAAAATTTTTTAAATATTTTTGTCCAATAATTTCAATATTTGTATCATTTTAGTGTTGGCATCTATTGATTGGCTTTTCCCATTCCACTTGAGATTTTCCTAGTTCTTGAGATGATGAGTATAACAAGTTATTTTCTCTTGTATCCTGGACTTTTGAGACATTACATTATGAAATGCTGGTTTCTTTTTTAATCTTGTCATTGCTGAGGCAATAATCAGAGCTCTGTTCACACATTTCTGGTGCTAGTCACCTTACACAGTGAACAAATCACAAGTTTTGGGTAATTTGTTACATAGTAATTGTAACGAGACACACACACACACACACACACACACAAACAAGCCTATTTGTACATAAAAGAAGAAATTGTCTACGTGTGCAGGTATAATTCTTTTGCTCCTTGGGCCCCAGGACAGCAGTAGAGTAAAAATGGCTGTGTGGGGTCCTTGGTGGGGTGGGAATTAGAGGTGATAGGGCCCCCACCATAGTTTAGGTGACCTGAAAGCTGGGCTGTATATCTGTTTTAGTGCATTTGTGTTGCTATAAAGGAATACCTGAGGCTGGGCAATTTATAATGAAAAGAGGCTTATTTGGCTCACAGTTCCGCAGGTTGTACAAGACGCATGGCACTGGCATCTGTTCCTGGTGAGGGCATCGGGCTGCTTCCACTCAGGATGGAAGGCAAAGGGGAGCTGCATGTGTGGAGACCATGTGGCAAGAGAGGAAGCAAGAGAGATGAGAGGTGCCAGGCTCTTTTTAACAAGCAGCTCTTGAGAAACCTAACAGAGTGAGGACTCACACATTACCTCAAGGATGGCACCAAACCATTCACAATGGATCTGCCCCCAGGACCCAAACACCTCCGACTAAGCTCCACCTCCCAACATTGCCATACTGGGGATTAAACTTTTTTTTTTTTTTTTTTTGAAACAGAGTCTCACTCTGTCACCCAGGCTGAGTGCATGATCTCAGCTCACTGCAACCTCCACTTCCCGGGTTCAAGCGATTCTCGTGCCTCAGCCTCCCGAGTAGCGCCACCACACCTGGCTAATTTTTTGTATTTTTAGTAGAGACAGGGTTTCACCCTGTTGGCCAGGCTGGTCTTGGACTCCTGACCTCAGATGATCTGCCTGCCTCGGCCTCCCAAACTGCTGGGATTACAGGTGTGAGCCACCACGCCCAGCCCTTATTTTTTTTTTTTTTTAATTTGTAGAGATGAGGTCTTGCTATGTTGCCCAGGCTGGGCTCAAACTCCTGGGCTCAAGCAATCCTCCCTTCTCAGCCTCTCAAAGTGCTGGGATTATAGGCATGAATAATCGTGCCAGGCCAAAGACAAGTTTTAACAGTCAGCTCTCTGGCCACAAATTATTTATATTCCTTCCACATGCAAAATAGACTCATGTCTTTCCTCAACCTCAAAAATCTCATCTACTATGGCAGGCTCAGATGCAAGCCCCAGGATCTCATCATCTAAATCAGATCCAAGTGTTGGGGAGGCTACAGTATTGCCAGCATATAGACCCTCGAGCACTTCTGGAGAGAGGGATACAGGTGCAACTATTTGGGAGAGCAAAGGATGAATATGTAGAGCTGTGCTGCCCATCATGATAGCCACTAGCCACATACAGTAATTAAATTTAAATAAAATGAAATAAATTGAAAATTCAGTTCCTGCATTGCACTTGCCAAATTTTAAATACCTAACAGCCACATTGGACCGTAAAGATGCACAATATTTCTGTCATTGCAGAAAGTTCTAATGAACAGCACTGATTAGACCATATAAGCACAGGTATGCCCTGTGACCCAGCAATCTTCAGTTCAGGTTCTCCCAAAAGCATATCCTGAAGCCAAAGATGCAGGTGGCTTATTTGGGAGCTGTTTCCCAGAAGCACAAGCGAGTGGGGAAACTGAGCCAGGAAGAGCAAAAAGCCAATAAATGGTGCAGAGTCTGGAGTAGAGGGAGGCACCTAGAGCACTTCCCTGACTCAGAGTGAGCACCTCCTTAATTTTTGTTTGTTTGTTTGTTTGTTGAGACAGAGTCTCACTCTGTCACCCAGGCTGGAGTGCTGTGGCACAATCTCGGCTCACTGCAGCCTCCGCCTCCCAGGCTCAAGCGATTCCTGTGACTCAGCCTCCTGAGTAGCTGGGTTTACAGGCACATGCCACCACACCCAGCTAATTTTTGTATTTTTAGTAGAGACAGGGTTTCACCATGTTGGCCAGGCTGGTCTCGAACTCCTGGGCTCAGGTGATCTGCCCACCTCGGCCTCCCAAAATGCTGGGATTACAGGTGTGAGCCACCACGCCTGGCCCCCTGCTTAAATTTTGACTCTGGTCCCCTAATTTGACCCACCCTAATTCCAGCCCCCAAAAAGGCTACTGCTGTGAGCAGCTAGAAGTCATTTGTTCTGGGGACAGTCAGAAGATCAAGGAGTCATGTAGAAGTCGCCCGAGAATTGACCCTCCAAGGGAAAGGGAAGCTGCAGTATTTATTCCATTGCTTTCAGCCCTCACTGTTTGAGGACTGCTACTGGGGGAATCAATCCTGCTACTTCCAGTCCATTCTGCATGTGGGCAGTAGAAAGGCCTTGGTCTCCAGCAGAGAAGCAGAAAGATCCAAGCACGTGAGGCAGGAAACTGTCAGCCTGTGTGGGAACTGACCACCATATCCACAAGCCGAGGGGATACAGTAGAGGGCATCAGCTGGTGTGCTACCGTATATTCCAGAAAGCCGCCCACCCAGAGGACAGGTGTGAGCCTTATGGTAATGGGGAGCTAGAGGCAACCTAAGTGTCCATCACTGGGGGAATAGGTAAGTAAAAGTGCTGTGGTTGTATACACCATGAAATACAGTGCACAGGAAACTTGATGTACACAGCTTGTGAAGAGATCTCAGAAGCAGTGTTAAGTTAAAAAATAAAAAAGAAAGAAGTAGAAGATTTATAGCACAATTCCACTTATGTAAATTGGAAACACATACACACACGAGATCACAAATTATAAAGATACATCTTTGCAGCTATTTATCAAGTGCATTATAGTGGGTGTCTGTGGGGGTGCGATGGGAATGGGAATTGGCAATGGAGGAATAAAAGCCTTGGAGGGTCTTTCATGGGCCAATTGTGATCCTGTGTTATGATCTGAAGAGTATGATTAATAACTTTCTGCACCAAAGGGCTAAGAAAAAAAATAAAGGAGTGAAAATAGGAAATGTCTGCACATCAGAGCAGTTTCTTACCTGCTACACAATTACTATTACTGCAGGGATGATGATAGCAAGGCAACCAGACTCACCGCCTGCCTTCTCTCCAGGCAGCCCCTCCAGTCCCCAGGAAATGCGCTTGCCCCCAGCGAATAAGGAGTTCCCTACCCCTCTCATGCTACCCAGAGGGACAGAAAGGAGAAGTGGGCCTGCTACCCCCAGAGGTTCTCATCTTCTACCTGGGCTGCATATGGAATAGGGAGCAAGTACATAGGACTCATCATACCCCATTTCTGCCTCTATCCCACTGTGGGACCTTAGGCAAGTCACTTTGCCTTCCTATGCCTCAGTTATCTCACTAGTAAAATGGGCATGATTATTGTATTAGTCAGGGTTCTCCAGAGAGACAGAACAAATAGGATGTTTGGATAAATAGATGATAGATAGAGAGATATAGACTAGATAGATGAGAGAGATAGACTAGATAGAGAGAGAGAGAGAGAGAGAGAGAGAGAGAGACTAGATAGATGAGAGAGAGATAGGAGGGGATTTATTAGGGGAATTGGCTCAGACAATTAGGGAGGCTAAGAAGTTCCACAACAGGCCATCTGCAAGCTGGAGAACCAGGGAAGCTTGTAGTGCAGCTCAGTTCCAGAATAAAAGCCTCAGGACTTAGGGGGTAGCTAGTGCAAGTCCCAGCATTTTTTTTTTTTCTGAGATGGAGTCTCACTCTGTTGACCAGGCTGGAGTGCAGTGACATGATCTCAGCTCACTGCAGCCTCCGCCTCCAGGGTTCAAGCGATACTCCTGCCTCAGCCTCCCAAGTAGCTGGGACTACAGGCCTGTGCCACCACGCCTGGCTGATTTTTATATTTTTAGTAGAGATGGGGTTTCACCATGTTGGCCAGGCTGGTCTCGAACTCCTGACCTCAAGTGATTCACCTGCCTCAGCCTCCCAAACTGCTGGGATTACAGGCGTGAGCCACCATGCCCAGCTGCACATCCCAGCATTCAAAGACCAAAGAGCCTGGAGTTCTGATGTTTAAGGGCAGGTGCAGGGTGTCCCAGCTCATAAGAGAGAGCAAATTCTCCTTTCCTCTGCCTTTTTGTTCTATTCAGGCCCTCGGCCAATTGGATGGTGCCCACCACATTGGGTAACAACGGGTCTTCCTTACTCAGTCCATTGATTCAAATGCCAATCTCTTCTGGAAACACCCCAGAGTCATACCCAGAATTAACGCATCACCAGCTATCTGATAAACTTAACCAGTCAAGGTGACACCTAAAATTAACCATCACAATTATAAAAATAACTACTCAGAGAAACATTAGGAGCATGAACTGAAATTAGTTAATGGGACATTCTTAAACCAATGGCAGAAGCTCCTTCTTGGCCAGGAGCAGTGGCTCATGCCTTTAATACTAGCACTTTGCGAGGCTGAAGCAGGAGGATGGCTTAAGGCCAGGAGTTCAAGACTGGCCTGGGCAACATAGTGAGACCCCTATCTCTACAAAAATAAATAAATAAATAATAAAGTAAGGTGGTGGCTCACGCCTGTAATCCCAGCACTTTGGGAGGCCAAGGCAGGCAGATCATCTGAAGTCAGGAGTTCGAAGCCAGCGTGACCAACATAGTAAAACCCAGTCTCTACTAAAAATACAAAAACTAGCCAGGCGTGATGGCATGCACCTGTAATCCCAACTACTTAGGAGGCTGAGGCAGGAGAATCGCTTCAACTCGGGAGGCAGAAGTTGCAGTGAGCCAAGATTGCACCATTGCACTCCAGCCTGGGCAACAAGAGCAAAACTACGTCTCAAAAAATAATAATAACAATAAAATAAAAAACAAGCTTTTTTTTTTTTGAAACAGGATCTCACTCCATCACCCAGGCTGGAGTGCAGTGGCACGATCTTGGCTCACTGCAACCTCCGCCTCCCGGGTTCAAGTGATTCTCATGCCTCGGCCTCCTGAGTAGCTGAGACCACAGGCGCATGCCACCACACCTGGCTAATTTAGAATAAAAAAGAAGCTTCCTCTCTGCCACTCAGGTAGCCTTATCCCTAATCTCAGCCTCCGTCAGGGACTCCCTGAGGCCAGTTGGCTGAAAGCTGCCCAGGGAGTTCTAAGGATTTCAGTTTCTCTTTCCTTCTTGATGCAGCTCCCAGCTCACTTGGCCCTGCCCACACCTGTTCCCTCATCAGGCTCCCAGACGGGCCCCGCCCACTCATGCCTCTTAAGTCAAAGTGGAAATTCTCATTTCCAATTACCTTTTCACTTTACACACATCATCTTGGATTGCCCATTTTGCGTGGCTAAAAAGCAGAGCCATGCCGCTGGGGAAGCAGTTGCGATTTAGCCATGGCTGCAGCTTGGACCGTGGTGCTGGTGACTTTGGTGCTAGGCTTGGCCGTGGCAGGCCCTGTCCCCACTTCCAAGCCCACCACAACTGGGAAGGGCTGCCACATTGGCAGGTTCAAATCTCTGTCACCACAGGAGCTAGCGAGCTTCAAGAAGGCCAGGGACGCCTTGGTGAGTTCCTGTTGCTGTGGATGAACCACTTCTACGGGTGTCCCAATTACTGCCCTTCTACTGTGGGCTAGCCTCTAGCCTTCCAACTATGGCAAACCTCTATCCTTTCTGCACTGGGTTAAACCCATGCTGTCAGGCCAACTTCATCCTTGCTGCTATGAGCTAGCTTCCAGCCATCCTGCTGTGGGCTAACCCCTGCCCTTGCTCTCTAGGAAGAGTCACTCAAGCTGAAAAACTGGAGTTGCAGCTCTCCTGTCTTCCCCGGGAATTGGGACCTGAGGCTTCTCCAGGTGAGCTGAAAGTCAGGCCCCCTTCACCCTTCCCTTGACCCTCTCCCCCCTCTTCTTAAGTGGCCCCTTAGCCTTCTTTGTTTCCCTTGTCCTTCACTCTCTTGGACCTCTCCTCACCTGTCCTGTGCCCCTGCCACTTCAAAACTGCTCTCTTGACTCTGTCCTTCCCCTGGGTCCCTTTTATCATCTCCCATCGGCCCCACTTCCCTAGCTCGCTCACCTGTCCCTGTCACTTCCACTCTCACTCTTCATTTCTCTCCCAAATGTCTCCAGTCTGTCGCCCACCTGTGCCTTTCGTCCTGCTCCACTTCTCCCTGTCTGTTCCCAACACTGACCCCCTCTCCCTCTCACCTGCCTCTGTCACCTGTCCCTCATTATCTCTCACTGACATTCATCCAGCTCATGCTCCCCCCTCATCCACCCTTCTCTTTTTTTTTTTTTTTTTTTTTTTTTTGAGACAGAGTCTTGCTCTATGGCCCAGGCTGGAGTGCAGTGGCATGATCTCGGTTCACTGCAACCTCTGCCTCCCGGGTTCAAGCAATTATCCTGCCTCAGCCTCCCGAGTAGCTGGGATTACAGGCATGTGCCATGATGCCCAGCTAATTTTTGTATTTTTAGCAGAGACGGGGTTTCACTATGTTGGCCAGGCTTGGTCTCGAAATCCTGACCTCAGGTGATCCACCCGCCTCGGCCTCCCAAAGTGCTGGGATTACAGGCGTGAGCCACCACACCCAGCCCTACCCTTCTTCTCTGTGCATGCAACTGTCCCTCTCTTACTGTGCCCCCAACCTGCTTTCTCCTCACCCGTCCCCACCCCGCCCCAGAGAACTTCTGTGACCCCCGTAAGTCCCCTTTCATTTGTCTCCATTTCACTTATCCCCTCACCTGCCTCCTTGACCATCCTGCCTCACCTGTATCCTTCCTCATGTCTTCCCCCTCCTGTCTCCTTCTCCCCAGACCCCTCACCTGTCCCCACCACATGCACTGTGTCACCGACCTTCCCCAGGACTGCCTACCTGTCCCCACTAACTGGGTCTTCTTGCCTGTTCTCCCTCACCTGCTCTTTCTCACCTCTCCTCAGGTGAGGGAGCGCCCTGTGGCCTTGGAGGCTGAGCTGGCCCTGACGCTGAAGGTCCTGGAGGCCGCTGCTGGCCCAGCCCTGGAGGACGTCCTAGACCAGCCCCTTCACACCCTGCACCACATCCTCTCCCAGCTCCAGGCCTGTGTGAGTCCTTGGGGCCCGGGCACCCAGGTCTGTGGGCTCTGAGCAGCATCCTTCCCCTGTGGTGGCCCAGGCTCCGCCTCACACACCGCCCTCTTCTGCCCACAGATCCAGCCTCAGCCCACAGCAGGGCCCAGGCCCCGGGGCCGCCTCCACCACTGGCTGCACCGGCTCCAGGAGGCCCCCAAAAAGGTGAGTGACCCAGGAAGAGAAGGACCAGGGTCTGGGGAGCCAATAGGAGCCCAGACCCTGGACAGCCCCTGACCCATCCCCTCCTCCCCTACAGGAGTCCGCTGGCTGCCTGGAGGCATCTGTCACCTTCAACCTCTTCCGCCTCCTCACGCGAGACCTCAAATATGTGGCCGATGGGAACCTGTGTCTGAGAACGTCAACCCACCCTGAGTCCACCTGACACCCCACACCTTATTTATGCGCTGAGCCCTACTCCTTCCTTAATTTATTTCCTCTCACCCTTTATTTATGAAGCTGCAGCCCTGACTGAGACATAGGGCTGAGTTTATTGTTTTACTTTTATACATTATGCACAAATAAACAACAAGGAATTGGAACCTTCTGTGATAGGTGAATCCTTGAGTGTGTGTGTGATTGTGGGTCTGTGACTGGGTGTGGATGTCTGGGTGATGCAGGCAAAATTTGTGACTCGTTGTGTATATTTGTGTGTGCCTGACTTCTGTGACTATGTATGTATTTGTATGGAAATGAGTGTCTGCCTGAACTTGAGTCTAACCAAAGGTGCGTAACTGTGCATGTTCATGCCCACACGTGTGCAAGTATGTGTGTGTACTGCCAGGCATGGTGGCTCACACCTGTAATCCCAGTGCTTTGGGAGGCTGAGGCAGGCAGATCACTTGAGGTCAGGAATTTGAGACCAGCTTAGCCAACATGGTGAAACCCTGTCTCTACTAAAAGTACAAAAATTAGCCGGGAGTTGTGGCATGACCCCGTAATCCCAGCTACTCGGGAGGCTGAGGCAAGAGAAATGCTTGAACCCGGGAGGTGGAGGTTGTGGTGAGCCGAGATCACATCACTGCACTCCAGCCTGGCCACCAAGAGAGAAACTCCATCTTAAAAAAAAAAAAAAAAAAAAAAAAAAAAAAAAAAAAAAGGCCAGCCTCCGTGGGCTCAGGCCTGTAATCCTAGCACTTTGGGAGGCCAAGGCGGGCAGATCACTTGAGGTCGGGAGTTTGAGACCAACCTGACCAACATGGAGAAACCCCATCTCTACTAAAAATACAAAAATTAGCCGGGTGTGGTGATGCATACCTGTAATCCCAGCTACTCGGGAAGCTGAGGCAGGAGAATCGCTTGAACCCGGGAGGTGGAGGTTGTGGTGAGCGGAGATCACGCCATTGCACTCCAGCCTGGGCAACAAGAGTGAAACTCCGTCTCGAGAAAGAAAAAAAAAAAAAGAAAGAAAAGAAAAGAAAAGCGGTCAGGATGCTACATCCTGGAACCTAACCACAATGGTGTGAGAAGCCCAGACATACAGAGAGACCACATATAGGTACTCCATCTGATAGTCCCAGTATAGCTTTTGAATCACCCCAGCTCAGGAACCAGACATGCGAGTGAAGAAGCATTTAGATGACTCTAGGTCCCAGCTGGAGCAGAGACAAGCCATCACCACTGGGCCCTGATTAAGTTCCTGACCCACAGAAACTGTGAGCATAATAATATTTGTTTTACGCCACTAAGTTGGGTTTGTTATAAGGCAAGAAATCATTGAAACAGTGAGAGAGCCACCAGCCCATCACAATTCACTGTGAGGTGTGTCACAAGAAATTTATTACCAAAATAACTCATCAGAGTTTCTTTTTTGGGTTGGGGAGAGGGGGACAGCGCCTGGCTCCATCGCCCAGGCTGAAGTGCAGTAGTACGATCTATCTCAGATCACTGCAATCTCCACCTCCTAGTTTCAAACCGTCCTCCCACCTCAGCTTTCCGAGCAGCTGGGACTACAGGCATGTGCCTCCACCCCCACTTAATTTTTGTAATTTTTGCAGAAACGGGGTTTCGCTATGTTGCCCAGACTGGTGTCGAACTCCTGGACTCAAGAAATCCTCCTGCCTCGGCCTACCAAAGTGCTAGGACTACAGGCGTCAGCCACCACACCAGCTCCACCAAGGTTTCTGAATGGTTGACTTTTTGTTACATTACAGGGGATTCAGAATAAAATTCCATTCTTATAATCCTATAACTCTCACTTCTTTGTATCGTTTGTTTGTTTGAGACGGAGTCTTGCTCTGTCACCCAGGCTGGAGTGCAATGACAAGATCTCAGCTCACAGCAACCTTCACCTCCTGGGTTCAAGCGATTCTCCTGCCTCAGCCTCCTGAGTAGCTGGGACTACAGGCACATGCCACCACTCCCAGCTAATTTTTGTATTTTTAGTAGAAGCAGGGTTTCACCATGTTGGCCAGGCTGGTCTCGAACTCCTGGCCTCAAGTGATCCTCCCACCTCGGCCTCCCAAAGTGCTGGAATTATAGGCATGAGCCACGGCTCCCAGCCTCCTTTGCACTCTTGAGTATTTTCTTGATTAGGAGTCAGAGGGCTGAAGTACAGCCATACACAGAAATTACACACAACCAACGGGCAAAAGTTGAAGCACTCCCTTTGATAACCAAAAACAAGTTAAATGTTCCCAGGTGTGGTGGCTCACGCCTATAATCCCTGCACTTTAGGAGGCCTAGGTGGGAGGACTGTTTGACCGCAGAAGTTAGAGACCAGCCTGAGCAACATAGCGACCACATCTTCACAAAAAAACTTAAAAATTAGGTAGGCATGGTGGCACATGCCTGTAGTCCCAGTCCCAGGAGGATGGCTCGAGTCCAGGAGGTTGAGGCTGTAGTGAGCCATGATCGTGCCACTGCACTCCAGCCTGGGTGACAAAGTAAGACTGTCTCAAAAAAAGAAAGAGAGAGAGAGAGAGAAAGAAAGGGGAGTTAAACGTAAAAAAGCTATTTGTAAATGTCTTAAAAATTTACACATAACCTCACAGCCATTCCCACTACATTATAAAGTCTGTGACTAGCAGAACCTCAGTTTGGGTAGGGGGCAGCATGGTGCCCTGCCCAGGACATGAATTTCTGTCCCTTTTGCCTGATACCTGCTTTCCCAGGCTCCCTCGCAGCTCAGGGTGGCCATGAAATTAAGGGCTTCTTAAATAATTTATGCTGGGTACAGTGGCTCACTCCTGTAATCCTAGCACTTTGGGAGGCTGAGGCAGGCAGATCACTTGAGGTCAGGAGTTTGAGAACAGCCTGCCCAACACGGCGAAACTCCATCTCTACTAAAAATACGAAAATTAGCCGGGTGTGGTGGTGCGTGCCTGTAACCCCAGCTACTCGGGAGGCTGAGGGGCAGGAGAATCGCTTGAACTCAGGAGGCAGAGGTTGCAGTGAGCCGAGATGGTGCCACTGCACTCCAGCCTGGGTGACAAAGCAAGACTCCGTCTCAAAAAAAAAAAAAAAAAGTTAATTTATGTAAAAAATGTAACAGAGCTTGGCAAAGGCGGAGCCCCATACATGTGTTTGTTGCTGTTACTCTTATTATTTTAACATATTTTTCTTCCTTAATACAAACAGAACTCTTTCCCACTTGTTCCCTTCCTTCCTGCTTAGTTCATTGGTATGAGGATGTGAGACCCAGAGCTATGGCAACCATTTTGTGACCACAAGGCAACAAGTTTAGGGTGTGAAGCTATCATTTTGAGGAAGGTAGAACAAAAGAGTAGAAAACGGGGTCCTTGCTGATATTAATAAGCCATTGCACCAAACCCCAGAATCCCCTAACTCCAGACTTACTCTTAGGTGACATAACTGAATGTCTTTCTTGCTTAAGTCGTGTTAATTGGATTTTTCTGTTTCTTGTGGCCAAATGTATCCCCACAAATTCATCTCTGCATGGCCAGCACTGAACCCAGAGAATGTGGTCAATTAATATTTCATAAAAATTTTAATCATATAGGACATGTCTGAGCCCAGGCATATGAGTCTCTTCAATTATGAATGTTGCAATGGAAGAAAACAAGGTTGCAAATCTCTACTTGGAGATGCCAAGGCTTTATAGAAGAGATTTTGAACTGGATATATTTTAGTTTTGCCTGAGCAGCATCCATTACTCCTGGTAACAGTGCTTCAATTTTCCTTCGGAAATGACCTCCTTTCCTACTCCCTCATTTGGCTGGACACATGACTCCAATTTGATCAATTAGAGCAAGCACTCCATCTCCAGAGCACAGTAACAAGTTTTCCTTGTCCTCTCTCATGGTGGCCTTTGCTTAAGTGGTTCCCTCTGCTTAGGACAGTTCCCACCACTCTCCCACGACCAAGTCTTCACCTGGCTCATTTCCACAATATCACTTCCTCCTCCAAAAATCCTTCTGCATAGTACACCGGGGTTTCTATTGCTTTATTTTTTATTTTATATATATATGTGTGTATATATATATATATATGTGTATATATATATATATATGTGTGTATATATATATATATTTGTGTATATATATATATATATATATTTTTTTTTTTTTTTTTTTTTTTTGAGACAGAGTCTAGTTCTGTCACCCAGGCTGGAGTGCAGTGGTGCGATCTTGGCTCACTGCAACCTCCACCTCCCAGGTTCAAGTGATTCTCGTGCCTCATCCTCCTGAGTAGCTGGGATTACAGGCACCCGCCACCATGCATGGCTAATTTTTGTACTTTTAGTAGAGACAGGATTTTACCATGTTGGCCAGGCTGGTCTCGAACTCCTGACCTCAGGTGATCCACCCGCCTCAGCCTCCCAAAGTGCTGGGATTACAGGCATGAGCCACTGTGTCCAGCCTCTATTGCTTTTATATGCTCAACAAGCTTTCTTATTTTTTTTTCTTTTTTGAGACTAGCATATTACAGCAACAAGCTTTCTTTGTTTTATTTTTTTTTAAGATCTTGCTCTGTCATCCAGGCTGGAGTGCAGTGGCTCAATCATAGCTCACTGCTGCCTCAAACTCCTGGGCTCAAGACCACCTCCTGAGTAACTGGGACTACACGTACACACCACCATGCTTGGCTAATTTTTTATTTTTATTTTTGTAGAGACAGAGTCTCGCCATGTTGCCCAGGCTGGTCTCAAGCTCCTAGCCTCAAGTGATCATCCCACCTTGGCCTCCCAAAGTTCTGGAATTACAGGTATGAGCCACCACACCCAGCCAACAAGATTTCTTATCCTACTTTTTCTGGAGAGTATTTACCTTCAACCACATAAAATTGCCAATACTATACAATGTGTGACCTACAAAAATGGCAAGTTCATGTGGTTCAACCTAATATTTAGCAATCCCTACTTCCCAGGACACACAACCGGGACATAGGACCCACCCACCCCCTACCTGGCCAATCAAAGCATTCCATTCATTCCCTTGGATGCGGCAATCAGTGCAGGGGTTGCTATGTGACCTCGGCCAGGCCGATAAGAGCTCTTCCCTGAGATTTTTCTCTTAGGACTAGAGATTCTGCCATTTTATCTCTGGGCTCTGGAAAGATTGAGTCTGTGTCTGTAAATAAATGACCATTTTCCCCCGCCACATGCAGTTGAAAGGGATGAGTCTGAGCTGAGCCAAGCAGAGAAGAGAGCTGTGTAGGGAGAGTGTCTTGGTGGGGTTGAGTCTGGGTTCCTTTCTCTAAAGCTCTGTTCCTTGTAGCTTTGCAATCACCCCACAACTTTTTCTTTTTTTTTTTATTTTTGAGACGGAGTCTCACTCTGTCACCCAGGCTGGAATGCAGTGATGTAATCTCAAGTGATTCTCCTGCCTCAGCCTTTCAAGTAGCTGAAATCACAGGCACCCACCATGCCCAGCTGATTTTTGTATTTTTAGTAGAGATAGGGTTTCACCATGTTGGCGAGCCTGGTCTCGAACTCCTGACCTCAGGCGATCCTCCCACCTTGGCCTCCCAAAGTGCTGGGATTACGTGTCAGTCACTGCACCCACCCCCAATTCTGTTTTGAAGGTAGGCATACCTCACCCCAAAGCTGGGGTCTCCATAGAAATCAGACCACATACCACCCCTGGTAAAGACCCTTCATTGGCTTCCCATGGCCCCAAAGAATAAAATGTTAACTCTTGACCACACCTCACAAGGTTCTGTAGAACCCACTTGCTTCTCCCACCTACTCTCCTCTCACTCTTCCCACTTCAGTCCAGACACACTGCCTCCAACACATCAAGCACACTACTTCCTAAGGGTCTTTGCACATGCTGTTCCCTTTGCCAGGAATGCTTTTCCCTGCTTTTCTCACAATGCATTTATTTAGCTCTGTCATCACCATCCTTCACCCTCCCACCTAAAGTAGGCCTCAAAGTCATTCTCTATGCCATCATCCTGTTTTCATTCTTGGCACAACATTTATTTGCCACTGGACATGCATTATTTACTCGTTTTTGTTTGCTTGTTTTTTGGGTCTCACTCTGCCACACAGGCTGGAGTGCAGTGGTGCAATCAGGGCTCATTGCAGCCTCAACCTCCTGGACTCATTTAATTGCTTATTTGTTTATTTCTCCTCCCTCTAGAATATAGGCACCACGGAGCAGGGCTTTCTTGTTTTGTTTCATCTATTTTGTTCACTGCGATAGCCCCTACATAGGACCAGTTACATAATACATGCTCAATAATGCTTTATCAAGTGAATTAGAGACAAGATTCCTGATGGTTCTGTGTGCAGGTTGGAGGCAGTCAGCTTTCCAATCATGGCTCTGCTGTTAACTGGCTGTGTGATCTTGGAGATGCTCCTTAACCTCTCTGAGCTTCAGTTTCCTCATCTTGAAAATTGTGTGCACACACTGCATATACCTGTGCAGGCTTTAAATGCAGTCATACTTATTATTGGAGTAACTCCATTTCCTAAGCATTATGTGCCATGCACTGGGTTGCATGCTCTTTATCCGTGCATCAGGGAGGGTTTGGGAGCACTGTGCCTGGCTTGTGAAAAGCCCTCAGTACCTAGGAGTCGTCATGACTGACACAAATGAGGGTGGTTGGGCTCCTGGGTGAGGAAGCCTCCTGGCCTGTGATTCTCTGGTGCCTCTGTCCTAGCAGCCTCCCACCCTGTCTGCCTAGATCCATCCCCCTCCCTCCTGCTCCGTTTCTATTTCTGTCTTTCTCTCCTCCTCCCCTGGCCTCAGGGGGCCCCTGGCTGGCAAGAAGCCTTCCTCCTTCTTCCCCAAGATCAGGAAGGTGTTATCACTGCAGGGCCCCTGCAAGGACTGGGATGTCTGTCCCTCTCCTCTCCCCAACCAGCTTTCCTTCCCCAGCCACAGCCCTCAGCCTCACCTGAGAAACTCCTCTCCCCACACCATCCTCCATGCCCTCCGCCAGGGTCCCTCAGATTCCAGGCAGAGCGACACAAGAGGTCTTGTCCCTGAGCTCACCAGGCTAGCTGTGGATATCCAAGCTCAGCTAAGCTCATGGGGGCCATACCCCAGCTTCCGGACACAGACCCCAGAGGCAGCATAGTGTAGGGGTACAATCAAACTTCCAGCTCCGCTATTTATTCATTGGGGGGATGGAGGGACTACGGCAAGTGACTTCATCTCTCTGTGGTTCAGGTTCTTGTCTGTAAAATGGGACCAAGGATAGATCTACCCTACCCCACTGAGTTGTGAGGTCTCAGAGGGTGGAATGAATATTCAATAACTGCTCAGCAGTACAGTGCTCTAGTTGAGTATTAAAGGAGTTCAGGGAATGTCACCCCAAAATATGGCACCCTGGTATGCTGATTATTTTAAATTAAAGGCACTTAGAGATCCATAGATGCTGGAAGAGGCTTTCCTCCTATGTCTTCTTATCTGCCTAAAGATCAAAAAGAACACAAGTGCCTTCTGTCCTCTCCCTGACATTTCATTATCTTTAACAGGAAAAAAAGACAGAGAAATGTCTACACCTGGACGGACTTTGTCACAAGAAATTATCTGTCTGTCAGTCTCAAATTCCAGAGACATTTACAAGCTAAATTCTATCTCCTGGACCCATTTATTTTCCCCAAAATCATTTATTACCCCTCAAAATTGCCTTCCTTTCCCCATCTCCCCTCCTGTGAAGAAAGGTATATAAGTATATAAACCTCACTGGGTTATTGGGTAATCACTTTCCTGTGATTTTCCTAGTGCATGTTAAATACCCTCCATATTCCTTTTCTCTTGTTAATCTATTGTCAGCCCATTCCAGTGAAATTTCAGAGAGTGAAGGGGAAGCTGTCTTTTCACCCCTATAGTAGAGACTCAGAAGTTGGCCTGCCTGCCTTTTTAAATCCCAGTTTTACCACCTTGGGCCAGTTATTTAACTTTTCTGGGCCAAAATTCCCTCATCTGGAAAACAGGATAATAATACCGATATGTCCTGGTGTTGTGAGAATTAAATGACTTAAGTGCTTGGCACATAGTAAGTAAGTATTCACTAAGCGTTAGCTATTATGATCATTTTATTTTTGTGATTATTCCCCACCTCTAAGTCTCTCAGAGGATAAAAGCCTGTCTGCCAGTCTCCTCCGGCCCCAGTTAGTCATCTTCCCATCTTCCTTCAGTCTCACTTAGAGTCCTTATGCTGCAATCTAGGTCACCCTCCCCCAACACACACACACACACACACACACACACACACACACACACACTACACGCGGACACACATACAGACACACACACAGGTCAGCAGGGCCTCAGACACAGAAAAAAGTTTAATTCTGCTGCGGCGGAGGGTCCCGGCTCCGGTAGGGAGGGGGATTTGGTTTTGGATTTTGTTCGTGTGGGGATTTATTTGGGAGAGTCTGGTCCTTCCAGTGGGACCTGCCCGGGAGAATGAGTAAAGAGAAGAAATCAGGAGAGACAGGGAGACTAGACAAAACCAGGGAGGGCCGAGGGACAAGAGACGACAGGACAGAGAGAAAGGAGAGGCAAATAGGGAAAGACAGGCACTACAGAGAGACGACAAGAGGGCGGGATAGAGACAAACGAGGGAAACAGAGAAAGGGGGACCCCAAGCCAGACCCGACCGGACCAGGAATGTGCGTGGGGTGGGGTGGGAGGCTTTGGAGGCCGCCGCGGGACAGAATAGGATCTAGTCCAGCCAGATACAAGAAATGGGCCCCTCGCCCCGGCCCCGGGTGACGGGCTGGGGGAGGGGGCTCGTGTCTCAGTGCTGCAGTGTCAGGGGGCCCTGCCCCTCCCCGCGCTTCGCTGTGTAAGGCACCGGCTCCAGCGAGGTCCGCGAGCGCGCGAGGGGAGGGGTAGGAGGGGGGTCGAGGAGTCCATAGGGGAAGGGAGGCCGGCAGCCGGTCCCCGAACCCCGCCCTGGGCACGGGGGCGTGGCCTCGAGCCGCAGCCCGAGGCTGCCCCGCCCCCTCCCGGGGACAAGGGCGCGTCTCCACTCTGGTCCAATGTCTTGGCGCTGCGCTTTCTCCCAGTCCCGCCCCAGCGTCCGTGCGGCTGGGCGTTTGGTCTGCGGCACCCAGGCGTCCCGGCGCCCGCCCGCCGCTCACACGGTACTCTCCAGCATCCACTCGGTGCTGGTGAAAGCCAGGCACGCCCTGGCGGAGCCCAGCCCCAGGTCTCCATCCTCCCCGGCCGCGCCCCCTCCAGCCCCGTCCAGGTGCGGCGTGGACCGGTGGCGCTTTGTCCGCCGGGCGCGGCGCGGGTAACTGTGGCTCTGGAATAGTGCCCCGTAGTCCCCGTCGAACGAATAGCGCTGCTGCGGCCTCGGCCGGGCCGCGGCTCCCCCAGGAACTAGAGCTAGAGTAGGGGGCGCCGAGGTTGGTGGCTCCAGGGCGCCGGATCGGCTCCTTCGAGGGCCCACCGCGGCCCGAGACTCCTCCCCGGAAGTTTCCTCGGATGGCAGCAGGCACAGCGAGGTGGCCGAGCCGCCCAGAGAACGTCCAAGGACCACCTCCGGCTCCGCGGATGCCGTCTCGGCCTCCATGGCCTTGGCCTCGACGGCGACGGCGGGGGCAGCCTGGGACTCCACCTCGCGCAGCGCCTCGTAGTGGTCCTGGGCCGGCAGGGCCGGGGCCTGTGCCGCGCCTGTGCCTGCGCCGTTGGTCTGCGAGCACACGTGGCTGACCCGCGGGAGCGACCTGGAGCCCTTGACGCGGCGGCTGTCCCCGTCGCCATACACCTTATAGCGGATCATGAGCAGAACGATGAAGACGAGGACCGAGGCGACGATGACGCCCCCGATGGCGATGATCATGGTGCCGCCCAAGAAATGGGCCCTCAGCGGGCGGCAGGGCGCCGGATCCCCAGCGGTGGTGAACTGTACACAGCCCACCACTCGCGTTGCCGGCAGCGCTGTGGCCCCGTCGTCGTAGACCGCCAGCACGCACAAGTCGTAGGCACGGCCCGCCGCCAGGTCATTCACCAGGAAGGTCTGACTGGTGGACGGGATCATCCTGTAGGAGGGGGCGGGTTCAGGGCGGGGTTAGTCCCCCCGAACCACGCCCCTTCGCTTTATGCCCCGCCCATGGTGAACAGTGGGGACTAAACCCTGCTATCGAAGTCTCAGCCGCTACTGAGACAACAGCAGCAATTCAAGCCCCGCCTCCATCAACATATTCCCACCCTTTCACACCCCTCATCTGTATGCCCCGCCCTCAGACCCACCTCCTGGCTGTGTCCCATCACCCACTGGGACAATATATCTATCATTCGTATTACCTCCTCTGCATATCCCGGCCCCTGCAGGGGAGAAGTGCTATGGCTTTTAAGCCCTGCCCTCAAGGGACATGCTCCCTAGCTATGTCTCACTCTTGCTAGGACAACTGCCATTCAAGGTCCTTCATCTAGGCATTTCTACCCCAAAACTGGGCCAACGCTACTGGCCACCTCCCCTTTTCTGCATGCCCCATCCCCCACTCAGGTGGACACTAAGGTCAGCTCACAGCGCCTGTCATATTCCTACTGGAACAATGGATGCTCTTCTAGTTCCTCTTTTATACATATTCCTGCCTTTCAGGGAAAACCATGATGCAGGTCGCTCCCCCTTATCTGCATGCAGCACCTTTGGGTAAAACATCTAGCTTTGGCCGGCTGCAGTGGCTCACGCCTGTAATCCCAACACTTTGGAAGGCTAAGAAGGGTGGATCACCTGAGGTTAGGAGTTCAAGACTGGCCTGGCCAACATGGTAACCCTGTCTCTATTAAAAATACAAAAATTAGCCAGGCGTGGTGGCAGGCACCTGTAATCCTAGCTACTCGGGAGGCTGAGGCAGGAAAATCGCTTGAACCCGGGAGGTGGAGGTTGCAGTGAGCCGAGACCACATCATTGCACTCTAGCTTGGGCTACAAGACCGCAAGACCGAGACTCTGTCTCAAAAAACAAACAAACCAAAAAAAAAAAAAAAAAAAAAAAAAAAAACCATCTAGCTTTGTCTATGTCCTGGAACAGTTTCCAAGTCCCTTAACTACATGTTCCCTGACATTGCTACAGGCCATTCCCCAACCAAATGAAATGTGGCTTCCAGGCACACCCCACAATGGCCCACTAAGGATGGTTCCCCTACTGTGTATAGGCCACATCCAGACTACAGGCCCTGCTCCTTGTCCAGATATTAAAGGCAACCACCTCATATGTTCATGTGCCACCAGAAGTCACCAAATCACGCTACCAGGTAAGTTTCTTCCGTAAAGGGGTCAAACGTAGCCAAGCACACACCATATTCCTTTCTTGCTGTAGGCCCCTCCCCTCGAATGAAGACTAGTGTAGAGAAGTGGTTAAGATGACAAAGGCTGGGGGCCAGATTGCCCGGGTTTGAGTCTCTCCTCTGCCACTTGCTTGCTCTGTGACCTCAGGCAAGTTTCTCTTTTGTTTCATTTTGTTTTGTTTGAGACAGACTCTCGCTGTGTCACCCAGGCTGGAGTACAATGACGCGATCTCGGCTCACTGCAATCTCTGCCTTCCGGGTTCAAGTGATTCTCCTGCCTCAGCCTCCCGGACAGCTGAGATTACAGGCACCCACCACCACACCTGGCTAATTTTTGTATTTTTAGTAGAGATGGGGTTTCGCCACGTTGGCCAAGCTGGTCTCAAACTTCTGACCTCAGGTGATCCATCCGCCTCGATCTCCCAAAGTGCTGGGATTACAGTCATGAACCACCACGCCCGGCGAACTTCGCCAAGTTTCTTAACCTCCCTGTGTCTCATTTTCCCCAAATGGGGATGATAATAATTCCTACATCATAGAGATGGTGTGAGGAATGAATGAGTTAACACAGCCAGGACCTGGCACTTAATGATATCATCATTAGCTTGCATCACACCTCGTGTTGGCCAGTAACCCTTGCTGTGGCTCACACTATCCAGCCCATTGCATTCCTCCCATCTATAAGATCTACCCCTCTGGAGGGCCATTCCTGCTAGGCCTTGGCCCTCTTCTGTTGAGCACATCGTTTCCACACTGTGGGCCATGTCCAGCCTCAGCTAAACCTGGACTGCCCGTTCCACATTGATTGGCATGGCCAGGATGCAACCTCACAAGCTCTCTTCTCCAGCAAAGACTCTTGGTGGGTCCCGGGAGACAAGGACTGCCCCTTCCTCTTCGTGGGACCATGCAGAACAAGCTCCACCCCCTCTGACAGGCCACATCCCCACCTCCGAAGGCCTGCTTATCTCTCCGATGCTTCCGCTTCCCCTCCAGCAGAGCCACCTTCTGGCCCTGAAGCTCCACCTCTGTCATCCCACCTCCAGGAGGTTCTCCCACTACCAAGAGCCACCCTCCCACCAAAAGACTTCCAATCAGGGCCCCGCCCCTTCATAAAGGTCCACCCACTTCTCCAACTCCACTCTACCCACCCCTGACTGCCATTTCAAAGACCACTGCCACCCACCCCAGCCACCCTCGGCTGCCCTGGCTTTAAGCCTTCCTCCTCCTCTCTTCATCTCTCCTCTCCAGAGCCCTGGATTCCACTTGCTCCTTCCCCTAAATAGCCAGTTGCTAGGGGCTTCCCCCACCCCTTTTCAAGGACAGAGGCTGGCTCCTTAAGAAAGCTTCAGCCCAAGTGTCTCTAATTGGCTGCAGAATTAAAGCAAGCAGCTAAGCAGGCTTCTGGTTGGCTGCCACCTCCGCCCATGACAGCGTGAGGAAGTTAACCCCTGCGGCACCATAGCATAGGAATCTGCAATGGGGGTTGGAGAACTGGAACTGGGGCCCTACAGGGAAGAGAAGAGTCCCAGGGTCTGTTGCCCAGCTGGGGACAGGGGGCCATCAACATCTGCATCCATGCAGGGTCTGGGGGCTTGTGAACCTCCCCCACCCCACCATGTGGTGGCCATGGCTCAGAGCAAAGGAAAGAGAGGGACAGAGAAGTGGAGAGTCACAGAAGCTCAGAATTATTTACAGAAATATATTATCCATCTCCCTTCCAAGCAGTGGGTGCCCAACAAATGTGTGTCAGTGTATAAAGGACAGCTTTGCTACTTTCTGTGTGACCTTGGGCAAGTGACATCCCCCACTGAACCTCAGTTTTTCTGTCTTTGAAATGGAGAGGGGGTCATCACGCCTTCATAGCGGAGCTGGGAAGATCAAGCTTGGAAGTTCGTTGTGAAGGTTTGTGTTTTGTTCATTTGTTTGTCCTCATGTTTGTAAGGCTGGGCCAGGATCTAACCTATCTCAGTAGGCCCAGGGCCCAACACAAGATGGGCACACAGTAGGCATCTACTCAGTGTTTGGGACCAGAATCAAAAAGAGAGGGAAATGAGGAAGACAGAGACAAAAGAAAAGGGAGGCTTTTTTTTTTTTTTTTTTTTTTTCCAGAGGGAGTCTCGCTCTGTCACCCAATGGCGCAATCTCCGCTCACTGCAACCTCCGCCTCCCAGGTTCAAGCGATTCTCCTGCCTCAGCCTCCTGAGTAGCTGGGATTACAGGCACGTGCCACCACATCTGCCTAATTTTTGTATTTTCCGTAGAGACAGGGTTTCACCATGTTGGCCAGGCTGGTCTTGAACTCCTGACCTCAAGTGATCCGCCCGCCTCAGCCTCCCAAAATGCTGGGATTATAGGCATGAGCCATCGCGCCCGGCCAAGAGGCATTTTTTTCATTCAACCAACACTGGGAAAGCACCTACTATGTGCCACACCTATGGCCAAGAAAACACTGGAAAGGCAGAGATGGAGGCCAAGAGGCAGGTTTCTCGGTGAAGATCTGACAGCCAGGAGCTGGGGCTCTCCACAGGTAGGGAAACAGCTCCAGCCCCGCTGGCATCTCCAGGTGAAGCCAAGCAGATGACTGAAGCATTTAACTGGTGCTCTACAATGTGCATGAGGGAGGCAGAGCTAGAAGGAGAGACATCCATGTGGCAAACTACCATTTATCAAGTGCCTACTGTGTGACAATTCTGTGGCAGAGAGCCATACTAAAAAACTACCAAGATGGGCCAGGTGCAGCGGCTCACACCTGTAATCCCAGCACTTTGGGAGGCCAAGGCAGGAGGATCACTTCAGCCCAGGAGTTCAAGACCTGTCTGGGCAATATAGCAAGACCTCATCTCTACTAAAAATTTTTTTAAATTAGCCCAGTGTGGTGGTGCACACCTATAGTCCCAGCTACTCTCAGGAGGTAGGAGGATTGCTTGGAGCCCAAAAGTTTGAGGCTGCAGTGAGCTATGATCATACCACTGCACTCCAGCCTGGGGTGACAGAGCAAGACCCTGCCAAAAAAAAAAAAGAAAAAGAAAAAAAAAAACTACTGAGATGGAGAGACATGGCAAGGCCAGGACTGCAACTCATAGTGTACTATGGACCACGACCTACTGGGCTATAAGCTCCCTGAGGACAGGGTCTGGGTGGTTTCCCTGTGTCCCCAGCACCCAGCTCAGGAGTTTGCACAAAGCAGGGGCTCTGTGCCTAACGAGGGCAGAGAAGGTAGAGACAGACAGAGAGGTGAAAGGAGAAATAAGGAGGCGATGGGAGAAAATAACTCTTTTTTTAAAATGTCTGTTGACACCGTATGGTCTGTCCCCACCAGGGCAATGGCTTCAAACCCAAGTGAGGGTGGAAATAACATATTTTTCTCATACGTTTTGTTTTCTGTTTCTGTAATGTACCCAATGTGTTGGTTCAGTAGTACTGGTATATAATTTATAAATATAAATGTCGCTGTAGGCTAGGCACGGTGGCTCACACCTGTAATCCCAGCAATTTAGGAGGCCAAGGCAGGCGGATCACTTGAGGTCAGGAGTTCAAGACCAGCCTGCCCAACATGGTAAAATCCTGTCTCTACTAAAAATACAAAACTTAGCTGGGTGTGTTGGTGGGTATCTGTAATCCCAGCTACTTGGGAGGCTGAGGGACGAGATTCGCTTGAACCCGGGAGGCGGAGGGTTTCAGTGAGCTGAGTTCGTGCCACTGCACTCCAGCCTGGGCAATAGAGTAAGGCTCAGTCTCAAAACAAACAAATAAATAAATGTCACTGTAAATGTGTGTGTGTGTTTCATGCTCCAAAATGTTTAACTGAAGAGGTGCACAATCAGATTGTTGTGGGGAGCAGTGATATCGACCATGAGCCCCATGAGGGCAGGGTTCATGCTGAGCTCAGTCACTGTTAGGACTCCAGTGCCCAGCCCTGGTCGGGTTCATGTAGGTGCTCAGCGAATATTTTCTATAAGCACGAAAAACAGAGACAGTGAGAAATAGAGAGAGGAGACAGGGCAAAGGAGGGCGGGAACAGCTCTCACAGCCATCTAGAACCCTGGCTGAGCAAGAAGGCCAAGGGAATGGGCAGGTGGGAGGGAGGGTCCCCCTGGGCTTGGGAGGAGGCCCTGGGACTGCAGCACCCGCACCCACCTGTAGACGAGGGAGTCATCAACGGAACTGTTGTACTGAACCTGGTACATGCGTATTCCGGGCACAGGCCTCTGGGCTGGCCAGCGGATGAGCACGGAGTTCGAGGTGAGCTCGGCTGCCACGAGCCGACGCTCAGCCGCAGAATCGTTGGCACCTGGTCTGCCCGGCGTGGCGATGTCAGAGGAGCCGGGCTCGGTGAGAGGCGGCGGGGCAGCCGGCGGGGGTGCCATCAGAGGCAGAGGTACCACGCACACCTCCACGGGCGCCGTCGCTTCCCCAGCAGCATTGGAGGCGATACAAGTGAAGGTGCCACTGTCCCTCAAGGTGGTGATGGTCACATCCAGCGTCCCGTCCCCCCGGACCCGGGTCCGGCTGGAGTTCCCCAGCAGCCGCCCATCAGGTGCCACCCAGTGCACCACCGGCTCGGGGTCACCCACCGCTCGGCAGCGCAGGCTCACCGCCTGGCCTTCCACCACCAGGGCCCGGCCCCCCGCCTGCCGTGTGATCAGCGGGGGCTCACACAGGAACTCCTCCTCGGGGATGGACCAGAAGTAGCGGTCGGTGAGGTGTTCGGGCGTGGCGCAGGTCTCTAAGTCGTCCTCGCGGGTCAGCCGCCGCAGCCAGAGCAGCTCGCAGTTGCAGTGCAGGGGGTTGCCGCCGAAGCTGACGGTCAGCGGGGTGGGCGGCTTGGGCCCGGTGCCCTGCGACCTCAGGAAGAGCCCGTCGGGCGGGAGTTTATGCAGGCGGTTGGAGGTCATGTCCAGACGGACCAGCTTGTGAAGCTGCACGAAGGTCCCCTCCGCGATGTGGTCGATGAGGTTGTGGTCCAGCGTGAGGGTGTTTAGGTTCACCATCTGGCCCACCGCCTCCCACGGCAGGGCCTCCAGGTTGTTGTAGGACAGATCCAGGTCCTCCACGGTGGACAGGAAGGCGTCAAAGGCCGCCGACTCCACCCGGCGGATCTGGTTGTTTCCAAGGATCAGGTGGCGGAGGTTGCCCAGGCCGCGGAGCTGGTCGCCGCGCACCTCCGCCAGGCGGTTGCTGTCCAGGTGCAGGGCCCGGAGGGCACGCAGGTCGGCGAAGGCGCCAGCTGCCACCTGGCCGATGGTGTTCCGGGAGAGAGTGAGGTGCACCAGGCTGGTCATGTTGGCGAAGTCTCGGCGGCGCACGGCGGCGATGAAGTTGTCGGTGAGCCGCAGCTCCACCACGCGCCGGTCGATGGCGGGCGGCACAAAGAGCAAGCCGGTCTTGGCGCACAGCATTGTCAGTGTGGGCGCCACGTTCTGGCAGATGCAGCGGCCGGGGCAGGGCTGGCCACGAGATGCCCCCGCCCAGAGCAGCAGCAGAAAGGGCAGGGCAGCGGGCGGCGGCGAGAGGAGGGCCGAGGAGAAGGGTCCTGGAGCCATGGTGCAGTGGGAAGGCAGGAGGGGTGGGAGGTGAGACCTGCCGGGGAAGGAGCCGGTTACCCAGGCGTGGGACTTGGCCGCCATGGGATGTCCTGCTACGAGTCAGGCCTGGATCCCTCCCCTACCGCCTACAGCTGGGTTCCATAGGATGGTGAGAGGAAGCCACTATCAGCTATTAACAACAGATTACAACACTTCCATGCTGGGCACAGTGGCTCACGCCTGTAATCCCAGCACTTTGGGAGGCCGAGGCAGGCGGATCACCTGAGGTCAGGAGTTCAAGACCAGCCTGGCCAACATGGTGAAACCCCGTCTCTACTAAAAATACAAAAATTAGCTGGGCATGGTGGTGGGCGCCTGTAATCCCAGCTACTTGGGAGGCTGAAGCACGAGAATCGCTTGAACCAGGGAGGTGGAGGTTGCAGTGAGCCGAGATCACACCATTGCAATCCAGTCTGGGCGACAGAGCAAGACTCCATCTTAAAACATAAATAAAAATAAAAATATCTCTATACTGGTTGATAGAATACCCCTGTCCCTACTTGCGTGTCCCACCCTCACCTCTGCCCCTCCTGTAGTAGCTCCCAAACCTCTCATGATCTCCCAACCAGAGGGGTGACACCTGGCCCAACCTGGGCCCTCCAGTACCCACTAAATTGTCTAAAAAATCACTGTTAACTATGGTTTAAGGCCCTGGCTATCCAAGCCATACTCCCTAGCTCCAAATCCCAGCTCTGATACTTACTAGCTGTGTGACCTCCAGCAAGTATCTGAACCTCTCTGATTCTCGGTTTCTTCATCTGTAAAAGGGAGATAGAAACAGGCCTTACTTCTGTGAGGATTAAATGTATTGATGAACATAGCATACTTAGAATAGTGCCAGGCATATAAAATGTGCTTATTACATGTTAGCAATCATCATCATGATCATCAAGTGCTTAATATGTACCAGGCATAGAACAGTGCCCTATTATTGAGAGTAAGTACTTTGAAATCAAACAGACTCAGGTTCAAATCCTGATTCCCCTTTTGCTAGCTCTGTGACCCCCAAGCCAATGATTTCCCCTAGCTAGGCTGTAATTTCTTAATCTGTAAATTGGGATGATAATTGTACCATCTTCATTCATGTACCACCGACCATGCCTGGCATACAGTAAGTACTCAATAAATGTTAAGGGTTTCCCCCCTCCCGCCTCTGGCATTGGCAGGGAGAGTGTCAAAGTGGGAGGGACTGAGGAAAACACATCAGAGTCTTCCAGTTCAGCCTCAGGAAGGCCTTCTCTGAGGTCTGGTTTCATCCTGGGCTCAGTTGAGCTCCCAAGCAAGGCAGACTTTCATGCTCACATCTTTGGGTACACACAACACACACACACACACTCACACACTCACACACTCACGCTATGTCTCTGCTCCAGGCAAAACCTTCCGGCAGGGATTCCCCCTGCGGCGGCTGCAGCCCACGACATGTCAGTTCCCATCACAACACAGGGTGGGCGGGGGGTGAAGAGGAAAGGATGGGAAGGGGGCGTCCCTAAAACTGTTTTCACCCCACCCTGCCCTGTACCCTAGCCCCTGCTGGCCTACCTCCCAGGAATCTGTGTTTGGGGCTACGGCCTTAGGTGGCTTTGATCTTCCTGCCAGTGGGGAGGGGGCCTGGGACAGAGACCAGGAAAGTCAGAGACAGAGGTGAAGAGAGACAAGGAGAGACCAGGGGGAGGGAGAAGTGGACTGGCAAAGAGAGAGAGACAGATTGGGAGAGAAACAGAGAGACAAAAAGATGAGTCTGAAAGGAAGGTGAACAGACAGAAAACTGAGAGTGAAGAATGAGACACAGAAAAGAGAGAGACACAGAAAAAAGACACAGAGATGGAGAGAAAAATAGAGACAGTATTAGAGAGAAAAAGACAGAGGAGGAAAGAGACAGAGAGTAAGAGAGACAATGACCGGGCTGAAGGCGGAAAAAGAGGCCGGATCGGGGTGTCCTACCATCTCTGAGTTCACCCCAAATCTGTCCTTCACTCCCTCTAGATCACTACTCTACAATGTACTGGAAACCCTGGCCTAGAAAGGGGGACTCCAGAATTAGGAGCCTGAGTCTGCCCCTGCTTGGCTGTGGGGTCTTCAGGGCTCAGAATCCCAGTCTATGAAACAGAAGTCCAGAGCCTCGCCTCCGACAGCTGGGGTAGGACTCAAATGGAGGGAATAATAATAGCAATGGAAATAGCTAACATTTATGGAGAGTGGTGCAGCACTGCAGGACAGAATCCGCCCTACTGCCTGGGTTCAGACCTCACCTCCCCACTGTGTGACTTTAATCAAGTGACTTCCCCTTTCTGTGCCTCGGTGTGCTCATCTGTCAAATGGGAATAATAATGGCACCCACCTCATAAGGTTGCTATGAGGATTTAATGAGATAATATTTTATGACATGCTTAGAATAGTTCCTGACAAAGTAAACACTATATACATGTGAGCTGCTGCTATTATCATTATTATTATTACTATTATTATTACTAATTTATTATTTTCTCCAGCTTTCTCAGCCACCAGGAGGTCAGGCTATCGGGAGATCTTCCCACACCCATGCACACGCACATACAAAATGGGCAAACATATTCACTCAACCCTCTAAATGCAGGGGTCATTTCATATCTTGACATATTCTTGTATCCTTTACTGATATCATGAGGAAACCTTGCTTTCCCAAACACCTTAACCATCCTGAGAATGAATGTCTCTTGGCCTGAAACCCCCCACCTGCTCCCCAGAGCCACCTGGCCACCACAAGCCCTCACCCAACTTTGATGTTCCTGACCTTGTCACCACTCCCCAGCCTTGGACAGAGTGGTGGGCAACTGGTCCTTCAGGAAACTGTCATCCCCTGAACTGAAATCCATGCGAGGCAGGGTTCCAGACCCCCAGCTGGCTGACAGCAAGCCCCATCACCCCCCATGTCTCTCTCTCTCTGAAGCCTTACGGCTCTACTCACCTCTCTTCAGGGAGTCAGGGCCTGGGCCAGCACCTGCAAAGGAACAGAACCACCTTGTTAGCATCGTTCTGGCTCTTCTCTGTGCACCAGATCTTGCCTTGGAGACCATCCCGGCCAAGGAAGTCCCTGGTGTGATCACGCTCTCAGTCCTCCTGTGGCGGGTTTTGCATAGTCTCACAGGAACCCAGAAGTCCTCTCTGGAATCCTAGATTAGGCCTCAGGGTTGTTCACCCTCCAAAGCCCAGGAGTCGAGGACTTTAGCCCTTTGTCCTCTGGGGTTTCAGGAGCCAAGAACCCCAGCCCCCTCTTCCCTCTGACCCAAGAGTCCAGACCAGACCTCTGGCCCTCCATTAGAACCCAAGAGTTTACATCCCAGCCCCTCAACTCCAAAGTCCTGAACGGTACCAAGAGCTGGGGAAGGGCCAAAGTTTCCCATCCTTGCCATGATACTATTGCCCACACCAACATGTGTGTCCATGTCAGAACCCACGCAAGCCCACAACCCAAGTCTCTACATCTGGATTTCTATGAACATAGCAACATGATCTGTGTGCCCTCCGCCCTCTATGGGCACTTGGCCTGGCATATGGACACACTGTGTCCAGGGACCCCAGGCGGGACCCCAGTATACCAGAGGTCATGCCACATGGGCCTCAAACCCACTGAACCCAAGAGTAGGGACAGCCTTGTGCCAGGGCACAGACACATGTGTCTTTCACATACATGTCTGAACATACACAACCCCCAGAGACCAACACCAAAACACAAACAGACTCACAACATAGATGGATACATACCCTCAAGGTTGACACACCTGCATGCAACAATACATGTACAACACTGACTCTGCCATGCAAGTTCACACACACAAATGCACAGATACAACAGAGAAACTCATGTGCCCCCTAACAGACAACCAGGTACATGCATTTACAACAGATCTACCTTGCACACTCACCAGCACACAGGGGCACACACATCTAACAAACACACACACACCTGTGCAAACATACACAAGTGCACACTCTTAAATGCCTAGACACACTCATACTTCACACATCTCCATGTTGCAAAGTTGATACAGCACCACGCTAACAGATACATACCTCACACACACACACACACACACAAAACCACAAGCATACAGATACGAGGCTGATCCACACTGGAACACGCACACAGGCACAAAAAGATCCACCTTTGCAGACACGCCAAGATGTTCACTCATAACAGACACATGCTCACACAACAGTCCTGTGATTTACACACTTCCAAATGCATAGAAAATACTGAACCACAGTAGCACAGTCAGTAGACAGGCCCAGATTCACACTCACACAGTCTTGGACACACATTCCTCCCAGCCCTGAGGCACCCCCCCACCACCCCACCTACTTACTTCCCAGGCCCAAGAAATCCTAACATCCCTGCAGCACATTCAGCATCCTGCCCTCCACACCCCCAAAAAACCAGGGCAAAAGCCAGGCCAGAGGTCAGAGTTCAGCAGGTGGAAACTCAAGAGGATTTGGGGGTTTGAGTCCTAGATCACCGTTTCAAGGAGATCCTCCCACCAGCAGCCCCAAAGGTTCCCCAGCCTGGCCATCAGGATGGAGGTAACTCTGGCTCCGTCTGCAGATGTCTGGCCGGTGGGGGAATTAGGGTGGAGTGGGTGGGGAAGGGCCGGGTCTTCGCCCCCCAACCCCCACCTCAGGGCCCATCTGTCCATTTCTCGGCCTCTCATCCCCCCTCCATCTGTCCACCTCCTGGCCGCCCATCCCCCCCCCGCAACCACCGGGAAGGGGAAGACATGGCCGCTTCCCCCAGGACCGCTAAGGACCCCCCAGTTGACATGGACCGAGGGAGCGGCGAACTCCCCTCCCCCAAATCCACACCGAGGCCTGGGCGCCGAGCCTCAGCCCCCAAGCCAGCAACCTGCCGTGGACTCACAGATACACACCCTCGGAGACATACAACCCGCAGACACACACACACACACACACACACACACACACACACAAATGGACACCCGAGCGGGCACACCCGGCTCCACAGACCCGGGGATGGACATCCAACCCGGACACAAACACCCAGAGCAGCTAGTCGCGCACGCACATGGGCTTGGGGGGGACCCACACCTGGGCACACAACCCACGCACACACACACCTGCACACAGCCCCTCCGATGGGCGCGCGACAGCGCCCAGACACACAGCCGGAGGGGCGGCCGCTCGGGGGGACACGCGTGCACAGCCGGACACGCCGGCCGGGCTCGACACCCCGCGCACACCCGATGGCCACACGGGCAGGGCGCCGCACACGCCGGCACCGGGCACACATAGGGCCGCGCGGGCGCACGCCGGGCCCGCCGCAGCGCCACGGACACACACTCGCACGCTCGCACGCTCACACCCGCGCACACACCCGCGCCCCCGCCCGCCGCTCCCGGGCCGCTGCAGGCCGCGCTCACCCAGCCCGGGGGGGCCCCGGGCCCGGCCCCGCCGCCGCTGCCTCGCTCCGCGCCATGGTGGGGGGAGGGCCGGGGGAGGGGGCGCGGTGCCGCGGGGCCGCCTCCCTCCCGCCTCCCGCCCTCCCTCCCGAGCCGCAGCCGAGCTCCGCCCTCCGCGCCGCCCGCCGCCACCGCCGCCGCAAGGGGGGAGGGGGCGCCGACTGGTGGGGGCGGCCGGGCGGGGCGGTCGCACACCCGGGATCCCCGCCCCGAACCCGCCGCAGACCCCTCTCCACTGCCGAGCCGCCGCGGGCCCGCCCCCGACCCTTCCCCAGCCCCACCCCCAGCCCCGCCGGCCTCCCCGGAGACCCCCCCAGACCACGCCCCAACTGGCCTAGGGACCCCGGATCTCCCTACAGAGACCTCCCATCACGTCCTAATACCCAGGGGGACCTCGGATCAGGCCTCACCTCTTTTGAGAACCCAGGCGATGTTCTAGGGCCACCCAGGACCACAAATCATGCCCTGCTCTCCTGCTTGACCTCAGACTATGACCCACACACTGTCAGGAACCCCAGACCATGCCCCCAAACCCAGAAGAATCCCAGATCATATCCCAGCATCCAAGGGGATCCAGACCACCCCACCAGCAACCCTAAATCATATCCCAACATTCAGATAGACCCCCAGACCACACCCCTTCCCTCACGGACCCCAAATCATACCCTAACATCGGGGGAGACTTCAGACCATATGTCAGCCAAATCCCAGATGGTGCCTGACTCCCTTTGGGGACCCAAACCACATTCTACAGCCACCAGAACCACAAATCATATTCCACTCCTTCTTGGGGACCCCCAGCCATGTCCTTCTACCCTCAAGGACCCTAACCCATTCCCTTACCCCCAGTATGAACTCCAAACCATGCCTAACTTCTAGGGGGCCCTAAAATGTCTCTTATCCCTATGGAAGACCCTTAAACTTTCCCCATGAACCCCATTAGACCCCAAACCATCTTCCACCCCTTTGACCTTACACCTTTCTCTCTCCTTCTCCTCCAAGACATCCTTTGGTTTCCAAAACTCCCCAATTAGCCCCAATTTTTTCCCACCCCCTACTAGTCCTGCCCCCTTGAGGACCCTGCCTCCTTCTTGCTCCAGTTCTTTCTCTTGGACCCTGAAAGTCCCCCCTCCCTGTGACTTCCATAGAGCCCAGAATGCCTTGCTCCTTCCTAGTTCAGACCCCTTTGCCCATCCCCTGTCCCATAGCTGAACCCCACCCCTTCCCTCAAACCCCACTGAGTATCTCAGGCCACTCTCCTTCTCTTTCTGAGATATTCACAGGGTCCCTAAACCCAGCAACTTCTCCCCTAAAAATCTGTGTTGTTTCATGCAGTGCCCCAGATTCCTGGGGTCTCAAACCCTTCTCGTTTTGGATCCCACTGTACAGAGGTCCTCCTCTAAACCCCTTTCCTAATTTTTTTTTTTTTTTAGACAAAGTCTCACTCTGTCACCCAGGCTGGAGTAGAGTGGCACGATCTCGGCTCACTGCAACCTCCACCTCCCAGGTTCAAGCAATTCTCCTGCCTCAGCCTCCCTAGTAGCTGGGATTACAGGTGTGCGCCACCACGCCCGGCTAATTTTTCTTTTCTTTTTCTTTTTTCTTTTCTTTTTTTTTTTTTTTTTGAGACAGAGTCTTGCTCTGTTGCCCAGGCTGGAGTGCACTGGCATGGTCTCCGCTCACCGCAACCTCTGCTTCCCGGGTTCAAGCAATTCTCCTGCCTCAGCCTTCCGAGTAGCTGGGACTACAGGCATGTCCCACCATGCCTGGCTACTTTTTGTATTTTTAGTGGAGACAGGGTTTTGTCATGTTGGCCAGGCTGGTCTCGAACTCTTGGCCTCAAGTGATCCGCCCGCCTCAGCCTCCCAAAGTGCTGGGATTACAGGCATGAGCCACCGCACCCAGTCTAATTTTTCTTTCTTTCTTTTTTTTTATTTGTTTGTTTTTGAGTCAGAGTCTCACTCCATCACCCAGGCAGGAGTGCACTGGTGTGATCACAGCTCACTGCAGCCTGGACCTCCTGGGCTCAAGTGTTCCTCCCATCTCAGCCTCCTCAGTAGCTGTTTTGTTTTTGGTTTTGTTTTAGTTTTTTTATAAATGGAGTCTCACTATGTTGCCCAGGCTGGTCTTGAACTCCTGACCACGGTGGTCATGAGCTACTGTGCCTGGCCTAAATTATTTACATGAAGCCCGCCCTATCCCCCAGATCAAGCTCAGCTCTGCAGATAACTCCTTCTGGTGAACCTTAACCCCAAGCGCAACTCTGAGATGTCCCTGGGGACACTCACAATCCCCCTATTCTCCAGACTCCACCCTTCATCGCCACCACCCAGGCAGCATCCCCACCTCCCACCGTGGTTGCTAGTGCTCCCTGCTGGAGCTTGGGGGTAGGAATAACAACAACAACACAAGTGAACACATATACAGCACTATTTATGTGCCAGAAATGATTCTAAGGGTTTCACATCTATCACTTCATTCAATCTACACAACAGCCAAATGAAGAGGTCCTATTACCATCCCCATTTTATGGATAAGGGAAATAGAGGCACAGAGAGGTTTGGTCACTTGCCCAAGGTCACACAGATAGTATGTGGCAGAACAGGGTAGGGGTGATGGGGAAAGAGGGTGAGGGTAGGCCTGGGCTGGACAGGAGTAGAAAAGAGAGGGAGAGAAAAAAAGATAATAATAAGAGAGACAGATGGAAGAAGAAAGAAGCTGAAACCGAGGGAGATATGCCTTATTCATAGAGCCAATCTGGCCCTGTGAGCTCTGGTCCCAGCTGACCCTATTTCCAACGACTCTCCTCTTCTGTTCCAGCTTCTTCTTCTTCTTTTTTTTTTTTTTCTTTTTTTTTTTAGAAATGGGGGTCTCACTATGTTGCCCAGGCTGGTCTGGAACTCCTGGGATCAAGTGATCCTCCCGCCTCAGCCTCCCAAAGTGCTGGGTTTACAGGCGTGCACCACCACTCCTGGCCCCTCTTTCAGTTTTAACAATGACTTTTCTTTTCTTTTTTGAGACAGGGCCTCACTCTGTCACCCAGGCTGGAGTGCAGTGGCATGATCTCGGCTTACTGCAACCTCTGCCTCCCAGGCTCAAGCGATTCTCCTACCTCAGCCTGAGTAGCTGGGACCACAGGCGCCCACCACCACACCCGGCTAATTTTTGTATTTTTAGTAGAGACAGGGTTTTGCCATGTTGGTCAAGCTGGTCTCGAACTCCTGACCTCAAGTGATCCGCCCACCTCAGTCTCCCAAAGTGCTGGGATTACAGGTGTGAGCCACCGCATCCGACCCCTTGTTCAGCTTCTACGATGACTTTCCTATTCCTCCAACACACCAGCCCACAGCAGCAGCCCCTGAGCATATGCACTCTTCTCCCCTTTCCATGGCTGCTGGTTCTTTCTTTTCATGATGGTCTTAAATGTAATCTCTTCAAAGAGACCTTCCTTTTCCATCCCCAATTTACACACACCATCCCTACCTGGGCCCCCAACCAGCAGTCTGATGTTACTTTGAAATAGAAGAAGAAGGAGAAGGAGAGAAGAAAGGAAGAAGAAGGAGGAGGAGGAGGAGGAGGAGGGGAGGAAGAGGAGGAGGAAGAAGAGAAAAGAAAAGAGAGAAGAAAAGAAAGGAAGAGGAAGAAGAAGGAGGAGGAGGAAGAAGAAAGGAGGAAGAAGAGGAGGAAGAAGAGGAAGAGGAGGAGAAGGAGGAGGAAGAAGGGTGGCTGGATGGATATATGATGAAGTAATACCTTGACGTGTCAGTGGTGGCATCTAAGTGATGGGTATATGAGTGTTCACTATAAAATTATTTCAACTCAGGCTGGGCGTGGTGGCTCACATCTGCAATCTCAGCATTTTGGGAGGCCGAGGAGGGAGGATCAGTTGAGCCCAGGAGTTCAAGACCAGCCGGGCAACATAGCGAGACCCCATCTCTAATAAACTTTTATATAAATATATATATAGATATATATATAATACACACACACACACACATATATATATAATTATTTCAACTTGGCTGCATGTTTGAAATGTTTCATAGTAAATGTTAGGGAGTGGGGAAGCAGGACTCTTCTGGCGGCAACAAACAGCCCCACCAGGTGCCACCATTTCTATCTAGCACATCACCTTATTTATTTCCCTTATAGTATTTATCACTCTCTTTATTTTTATTTTAAAAGGAAAAAAGAGATGAGGTCTTGCTGTGTTGCCCAGGTTGGTCTCGAACTCCTGGGCTCAAGCCATCCTCCTGCCTTGGCCTCCCAAAGTGCTGGGATTACAGGCGTGAACCACTGCGCCTGGCTCTTGTCACCCTCTTATTTTGTTTACTTGTTTACCTATTTATTGTTATTTATTTACTGTCTAGTCATTGAAATATAAGCCTCCCAAGGGAAGTGGCACGGACACCAACATCTTCCAGTGCCCAGAATAGTGACTGCCACCCAGGAACTCAGTAAACGTGCTTTTCTTAAAGACAGGGTCTCCCTCTGTCACCCAGGCTGGAGTGCAGTGGCGTGATCATGGCTCACTGCAGCCTCGACCTCCCCAGGCTCAGGTGATCCTCCCACTTCAGCCTCCCAACTACAGGCACGCACCCCCACACCCAGCTAATTTTTTATTTTTTGTAGAGAAGCGGTCTCATTATGTTGTCCAGGCTGGTCGCACACTCTCGGCCTCTAAGATTTCCAGCCTCGGCCCCCCAAAATGTAGGGATTACAAGGTGTGAGCCACTGCACCTAGACAACATGTGTTCTTTTTATTTTATTTTTATTTATTTATGTATTTATTTATTTTGGAGACGGAGTTTTGCTCTTGTTGTCCAGGCTGGAGTGCAATGGAGCGATCTCGGCTCACTGCAACCTCTGCCTCTCCGGCTCAAGTGAATTCTCCGGCCTCAGCCTCCCGAGTAGCTGGGATTACAGGCACGTACCACCACGCCCAGCTATTTTTTTGTATTTTTAGTAGAGATGGGGTTTCACCATGTTGACCAGGCTGGTCTCGAACTCCTGACCTTAGGTGATCCTCTGGGATTACAGGCGTGAGCCACCGTGCCTGGCCCAACATGTGTTCTCAAATGCGTCTTGGGAGAGGACTGGGGATCTAGTCTGGCTCCAGACTCAGTTCAGGGACCACAGGAAGGAATAAATAACGACCTCTTAGCCCAGGTTCCCTAGAAGAAAAGGGTATACCCAGCAGCTGGAGAATGTCCCATAAGGTAAGGGAATGTGTGAGTTGGCCTGAAAAACGGGCAACAGGTTGAACTAGACATCTTAATTGTTTCCCTGGAGCCCTAATTCCTGCCCCAAACCTAATACAGACCCTCTACCAATCCCATTCTTCTGGCCCCGCCCCAAGCCTAGGCCCCACCCCCAGACTCTTAGGCCCTGCCCCAAAGCAAAAACTCCAGCCCTTTTAAAGCTAAGCAATGCCCATTCCGGCCCTTTCAAGGTTAGGAAGTCCCCCAAGTCTAGGGCACCGACTCAAAACTTAGGGAGCTTGGATCTGTGGGCGTTTATAGGATAGGTTGGTGGAACTAGAGGAGGCGGTCCCCAGTTTGTACTGCCTCTCCAGGGAATCTCCCCAAACCCGAAGACACGTCCCATTGTGCTGACTCCTCATTGGATAGTGCAGTCTGTTCTGGCCTCTCTGATTGGTCCTTCCACAATCCCTAGCTGTACTCCCTCTGCATTGGACTGCGCCTGTGAGCCACCCTTTCTGATTGGCCCCTGCTTTCCCATGCTTTGCTCCTGATCGGGCAAGTCCTTGTGCATGGCTCTTTCTGATTGGACCGTTTGTAATCACAAGCCTGGATGAAACAGAAGTTCCACTATGGAGGGTGGGAGTACCACCAAGGAGGACGAGGAGGAGGGGGGGGAGGGGGAGGGGGAGAGGGAAGGGGAGGGGAGGGGGAGGGGAGCGGGGAGGAGGAGGAGGTTCCCTAAGTCTCTTGCCTAAGAGAGAGTGTGGCCATTGACCCCCAAGATAGCCTGGGCTTAAAGAGTTCTAACTGTACAGACCACAGGTGCCTTTGGCTTCTATGCCTCAGATTTTTATCGTCTTTAAGTTGGAGAGAATAATAGTACCTTTTTCACGAGGTATTGCAATAATTAAATAAGCTAATGCCTATAAACTGCTTATAGAAGTACCTGGTACATAGGAAGCCCTCAAGAGGAGGGTCAGCTATTAGTATTCATTTGATCATGTAAGTGCATGACCTTGGATGAGTCCCTCTGCCTCTCTGACCTCTGCAGGCCAGGAGTTCCTTGTCCATTTAATTGAATGACCCCTCTTGTCTCCAGTCCTCCTCCTCCTCCATCTCCTGCCTTCAGGGACTGGGCCTGTGATCAGAGGGAGGGACAGAGAGATAGGGACAGGAAAACAGCACTAGTGGAGGGCAGAGGAGCTCAACCTAACCCTCCAGAGAATTTAGGGCAGGGTGAATTTTCTCTATGGACCAGTGTAGAGTGATTCTATCCCGAATCCCTCATGCAAAGGACTTGCCCTGATTGGGGGTGAGCGGGCAAGAGATAGGGTAGAGTGGGGTGGTAAGGGGATGGTGTGTTAAGGCTGGGAGGGCTTGGAGCTGGGCTTTTTGGACCCTATCCCCGGAAACACCAAGGTTGGGGGAACGGGCAGCCCAGGCCCAAGGTCACTATGTCTTTGTTACCATGGCAACAGCCACCTCTCTACCGGGAACCTGAAAAGGGGTGGGGGGAGGGAGTTCCCACGTCCCTGAAACCGGGGACAGAGAGGGGAACAATTAGAAACATGGAAGAGAAGCAGAGAGACAGAAAGGGTGTGATTCATCTCTGTGAAGACCTGCCCATCTCGGAATTCTCAGAGCCCGGTACATTGTGGGTACTTAATCAATGTCCCTCAGAGACAGACGCAGAAAGCCTGAGAAAGTTCGATGTCAAGAGATGCCAGAAAAAAGAAAAGAAGAATCTTCAGATGGGGGCAAGTGTCCCTTCCCTGTCTCCTCAATCTCACACCCCTGGGAGTCCACCGAGGGCCCAGGATCGACTTCAGCTTCCCCAGCCCTGGGTGTTCAGGCCTACCTGACCGTACAAACCATCCACCCCCCAGCAGCTCCTGAGATCCTGAAGCAATTACGTTCAAACCTCTTCGGCCTTTAAATTCTTCCTATCTAAGGGCTCAGCTGAGAAAAGTCGCATTCGGTGATGCCTCCTACCCCCCAGAGGTGGGGAGTGGGGGAGGAAACGGGCACTTTGCCTCCTTTATTCTCAGGGGTCCTTGTTCCCCTTGGGAGTGACCGCTCTGTAGATCCAGATATTTCCCCAATACCTCCAGGAGACCCAGGCCTCGCCCATCCGTCCCCCACCCCCCAAGGAAATCCTTCAGGCCCTTCCCTTTCTTTCTAAGAAAGAGGTATCCTCCTTCCCTCCCGGGACCCAGCTCGCATTCCTCTAGGTCAGCCCGCCCCCTGCTGGCCCAAGCCTCGTACTGCAGGAACCGTCGGCTAGAGCCCAGAAGAGGCAGAAACTGAGTCCAAACTGAGGATCTCCGAGTTTTTGCATTTTAAAATTTATTTAAAGTCTTGGTTGTTCAGGTCCTAGGGGTTCCAAGTCCCCAGTCACCTTGAGGACTCAGACATCAGGAATTCAGTCCCCAGCCCAGAGATCAACGAAAGAAAGACAACTTTTCTTGGAGCCAGGCCTCAGTGAGGTCATCAGTGGTGCGGATTTCGAACACCTGGGCAGAGAGAGGTCTCGGCATTATGATCTACTCAAACACTGAGACAGTGGCTGGGCACGGTGGCTCACCTGTAAGAGAGCACTTTGGGAGGCTGAGGTGGGTGGATCACTTAAGGTCAGGAGTTCGAGACCAGCCTGGCCAATATGGTGAAACCCTGACTCTACTAAAAATACAAAAAGTAGCCAGGTGTGGTGGCGTGTGCCTGTCGTCCCACTACTTGGGAGGCTGAGGCAGGAGAATTGCTTGAACCCAGGAGGAGGAGGTTGCAGTGAGCCGAGGTTGTGCCACTGCACTCCAGCCTGGATGACAGAGCGAGACCCAGTTCTTTAAAAAAACAAAAACAAAAACAAAAACCACTGAGACAGTGAGGACTCTAGTCCCTCTTCCCTCAGACCCAGGACCCACACCACCTCTCCCTAACACTCTGGAGCCCCATCCCAGTCTGAACCTTTGTGAGCTCTGCTGTCTGCACCAGCCTGTTTTTACTCCCTGCATACATCATCTGTTGTTCCGGCTTGCAGCCTGCGTGGAAAAGAGGAGAAAGGCACATCAGTGGGGACCCAGGCGTGTTCTCTAAAGCTCTAGTAATGTCCTGAAGGCCCTGCAGCTTGCCAAGGGTCCTAGGAGCTCTTCTAAGGAGGTCCCTGCACTGTACTCAGTTTCTAGGTTGGCTTGGGGGCTTCAAGTTATTCTGAGGGTCTCTGGAGATGATTTAGGGGCCAGACGGGGATTTCTAGGTGAAAGGAAAAGGTGGGTTGGCTTAGGCCCCAGGACTGAGAACGGGTGGGCTCTTGGTGAATCTGAGCCCCCACCTCCACTTCACTGCCCTCCCACATCATGCGTGCGACACACACACATCCTCACCCAGTCACACACAGGCTGTCACATGCTCACACTCTTACACAAGTGCCTGCACACATTCGCATTTACACACAAACACACACACACAGAATCGAAGACCCTCTCCTGAGGACAGTAGAGCTGTGTCTCACCCACAGGGCTGGAGAAGATGAAACACAAAGGGTAGGACACTCGGCCATCGTCATGCACGTACTTGTAGCTGTAAACCACGAACCTACCGTGAAAGGGAATTGAAAATCAGGACTCTGGCCTGCAGCCCAGGCTTAACAGCCATTACCTGAGTCCACAGCCTTGAAATGTTGGCTGAGTCTGAGAACCCAGGGTTGATGTCTGGGACTCAGGGTACTGACCTCAAACACAACAAATGATTAAAAAATAATCATAGGGCCGGGCGCAGGACTCACACCTATAATCCCAGCACTTTGGGAGGCCGAGGCGGGTGGATCACCTGAGATCAGGAGTTCGAGACCAGCCTGGCCAACATGGTGAAACCTCGTCTCTACTAAAAATACAAAAATTAGCCTGGAGTAGTGGTGGGCGCCTGTAATCCCAGCTAGTCAGGAGGCTGAGGCAGGAGAATCGCTTGAACTCAGGAGGCAGAGGTTGCAGTGAGCCAAGATCACGCCATTGCACTCCAGCGTGGGTGACAAAAGTGGAACTCCATCTCAAATAATAATAATAATGATAGTGCTCATTTGACTCACAATTACTTTATAATATAGGTGCTATTAATATCCCCATCGTACAGATGAGAAAACTGAGGCCCAAAGTCACTTGCCTAAGGTTCTACAGATAGGGGAGAGATTTGAACCTGGGAAAGTGAATGCCAGCGTGTAAGTTCTCACCCCCTATGCAATTCTGTCCAGTGCACTTGAACCCCAGGTGCACTGTGACCAGTGATGGCTACAGAATCATCCAAGCCCGGTATAAAATGAAAATGTGGGGCATCTTGTTCAAGAAGCAGGAAAATTGTTTTCCTTTCTTTTGTAGTCTCTCTCTAGACTGATCATCGTCTTTTTTTTTTACTGTTATTAGAGACAGGGCCTCACTCTGTTGCCCAGGCTGGAGTGCAATGGTGCGATCCTAGCTCACTGCAGTCTTGAACTCCTGGGCTCAAGCAATCCTCCTATCTCAGCCTCCAGAGTAGCTGGGAGTATAGGTGCACACCACCATGCCCAGCTAATTTTTTTTTTTTTTTTTTTGAGACAGGGTCTCACTTTGTCACCCAGGTTGGAGTACAGGGACGTGGTCTCAGCTCATTGCAGCCTCGACCTCCCAGGTTCAGGTGATCCTCCTGCCTCAGCCCCCCAAGTAGCTGAGATTACAGGGGCGTGCCACCACATCCAGCTAATGTTTTTTGTGTTTTTTGCAGAGACAGAGTTTCACCATGTTGCCCAGGCTGGTCTCGAACTCCTGAGCTCAAGTGATCTGTCCACCTCAGCCTCCCAAAGTGCTGGGATTACAGGCATGAGCCACTGCGCCTGGCCTTTTTTTAAAAAATTTTAGTAGAAATGGGGGTCTTGTTATGTTGCCCAGGCTGGTCTTGAACTCCTGGCCACAAGCAGTACTCCCACCTCAGACTCCCAAAGTGCTGAGATTACAGGTGTGAGCCACTGCGCTCAGCCTGTCTTTTTTAGTTTGCTATTTAAAGTCGTGCTCCCTCGGGCATGAGGATATGCGCAGGCAGAGTGCAGATGCTCACAGGAACACCCTGTAACTTGTCAGGCAAGGGGTGCCTTCTGGACCCTGACCCTCCCTACACCAGCAGGAAACCCAAGGACAGCAGCGGTCACTGGGTGGGTGCAGAGAGTGGGTGGCTGAGAACCTGTTCAGGGAGGCAGCCAGGTGGTGGACTGCCTGTGAACCTAGCTCCAAACCCCAGCACATTTGTGTGAAGTCCATTGTCCCATCTGACTTCATACAAAACAGAAATTCAAAGATAAAACTATAAAGAAGGTGACCGTTAACCCCCATGTGTGAGGCCCCCTCCTGGGTGCGGGGCCCTGTGCAATTATCATATGCCCATGAAGCTGGTCCTTGTTGAGTCCTACAGCCTCTAATCCTAGAGACCCAAAATGAATTCAGTCAAGATGAAAAATCTTAGCAGACCAGTTTTCACAGAAATAGTCAAAGAGCTCTTCCACCAAAAAAAGCACCAGGCTCATGTGACTTCGCCCAGGATTCTACCTGATAGTTAAAAGTCGAGTCATTCCTTTAGCAGGGTGCAGTGGCAGTGCCTGTAGTCCCAGTTACTTGGGAGGCTGAGGCAGGAGGATGGCTTGAGCCCAGGAGTTAGAGGCTACAGTGAGCCAGGATCACAGCACTGCCCAATAGCCTGGGTGACACAGTGAGACCCTGTCTCTAAAAATTTTTTTAATAAAATAACAATAATAATAATTAATTTGTTTGCTACCTAAAGTGTTCCCAAACATTGAAAAAGAAGGAAAATTTCTTTTTTTGTTTTTTTGAGACAGGGTCTTGCTCTGTCACCCAGGCTGGAGTACAGGGGTGCTATCTTGGCTCACTTGCAGCCTCAGCTTCCTGAACTCAACTGACCCCCGACATCAGCCTCCCAAGTAGCTGGAACCACAGGCACATGCCACCATGCCTGGCTAATTTTTTTTTTTTTTAATAGAGACAAGGTCCTCCACCAGGCGCGGTGGCTCACGCCTGTAATCCCAGCACTTTGGGAGGCCGAAGCAGGGATCACCTGAGGTTAGGAGTTCGAGACCAGCCTGGCCAACATGTCTCTACTAAAAATACAAAAATTATCCAGACATGGTGGTGGGCCCCTGTAATCCCAGCTACTCAGGAGGCTGAGGCCAGAGAATCGCTTGAACCCAGGAGGCGGAGGTTGCAGTGAGTCAAGATCGCGCCACTGCACTCCAACCTGGGCAACAGAGCGAGACTCTGTCTCTAACAAAAAAAAAAAAAAAATAGAGACAAGGTCTTGCTATGTTGCCCAGGCTAGTCTCGAACTCCTGGCCTCAGGTGATCCTCCCGCCTCAGGCTCCCAAAGGGCTGAGATTACAGGTGGGAGTCATAGTACCTGGCCAAAATTTCATTTTTAAAAAATGATGCCAGCGTAATGTTGAAACAAAAACTCAACAAAGTTTGTACAAAAAAAAAAAAAAGACTCTTAAACCGGTATCATAAATAATCGGTATAAAATTCTGCAATAAAATATTGCTATACAAACAAAAAGTTCTAGAGTATGAACTCTTGGCCTCAAACACAGAGATTCTTTTTTTTTTTTTTTTTTTTGAGATAGAGTCTCGCTGTGTCACCCAGGCTGGAGTGCAGTGGTGTGATCTCAGCTCACTGCAGCCTCTGCCTGCCAGGTTCAAGCGATTCTCGTGCCTCAGCCTCCCAAGTAGCTGGGATTACAGTCACATGCCACCACGCCCAGTTAATTTTTGTATTTTTAGTAGAGACGGGATTTCACCATGTTGGTCAGGCTAGTCTTGAACTCCTGACCTCAAGTGATCCACCCTCCTTGACCTCCCAAAGTGCTGGGATTACAGGGATGAGCCACCTCACTCGGCCAAACACAGAGATTCAAAGTCCATGAATAGGGCTGGAACTCCAGCAGTCCCTTAGCCTATACCTCCAACATCACCCCTCCCCTCATGGCCTGATCCAACCCTTTCTTCCCCCAGGATACCTGGGCTGTCTCTCCGGCAACTCCATTTTGAGCTCCTCTGGGGAAATGTTCTGAGGCAAGAAAACAGAAGAAAAGACAAAGAATGAGGCAGGGCGCAGTGGCTCACACCTGTAATCCCAGCACTTTGGGAGGCCGAGGCAGGCGGATCACAAGGTCAGGAAATCATTCAGACCATCCTGGCTAACAGGGTGAAACCCGTCTCTACTAAAAATACAGAAAATTAGCCAGGCATGGTGGCATGCACCTGTAGTCCCAGCTACTCGAGAGGCTGAGGCAGGAGAATTGCTTGAATCCGGGATGCAGAGGTTGCAGTGAGCCGAGATCGCGCCACTGCACTCCAGCCTGGGAGACAGAGTGAGACTCCATTTCCAACAAAAAAATTAGCCAGGCGTGTTCAGGAGGCTGAGGCAGGAGAATTGCTTGAACCCGGGAGGCGGAGGTTGCAGTGAATCAAGATTGTGCCATAGCACTCCAGCCTGAGCAAAAAAGATCGAAACTCCGTCTCAAAAAAAAAAAAAAAAAAAAGAATGACCACCTTTAGGTGAGCACTTACCATGTGCCAAGGCATCGTTCTATGAAACACACATGGATTAATTCATGCAACTATCCCGTAAGTCTGTGGGGTAGGTCCCATCATTATGCCCACTATACAGCTGAGAAAACTGAGGCCCAGAGGTGTTAAGGCATTTGCCCAAGATTGCACAGATAGAAAGCAGCAGAGTTGAGATTTGAATCTGGGTTCGAATCATAACTGCTTCACTATACTGCCTTTCAGAGGGCCTGAGAGAGCCCCAGCCCCCAGTCTCCATGGATTCCCTTATAAATCCTTATCGCAACACTAGAGAAATAAGCCTTATTATCATTCTTGTTATTGATAAAGACAGTGAGGCCACCAGGGGGGTGAGGTCTACCCCCTTTTTTTTTTTTGTAGAGATGGAGTCTTTTTTTTTTTTTTTTTTTTTTTGAGACAGAGTCTGTCGCCCAGGCTGGAGTGCAGTGGCACGATCTTGGCTCACTGCAAGCTCCGCCTCCGGGGTTCACGCCATTCTCCTGCCTCAGCCTCCCGAGTAGCTGGGACTACAGGCACCCGCCACCACACCCAGCTAATTTTTTGAATTTTTAGTAGAGACGGGGTTTCACCATGTTAGCCAGGATGGTCTCGATCTCCTGACCTTGTGATCCGCCCGCCTCAGCCTCCCAAAGTGCTGAGATTACAGGCGTGAGCCACGGCACCCAGCCGAGATGGGGTCTTGCTTTGTTGCCCAGGTTGGTCTCAAAACTCCCAGCCTCAAGCAACCCTCCCACCTCAGCCTCCTGTGTAGCTGAGATCACAGGTGCACACCACTGTGCTTGGCTAATTTTTGTATTTTTAGTAGAGTTAGGGTGTTACCATGTTGCCCAGGCTGGTCTTAAACTCCTGGGCTCAAGTGATCCTCCTGCCTCAGCCTCCCAAAGCGCTGGGATTACAGGCATGAGCCACCATGCCTGGCTAGCTTTTTAACTTATATGGAAACTCTTTCATTTAAATGCCAATAAAGCATTATTATCATCATTATTAAGATCATCATCACCTTATTGAGCACATACTAAGTGCCAGGCCTTGTTCTAAACCCATTACAAGAATTAAATCACTGGATGTAAAAACAAGCCTATGAGATAAGTACTATTCTCCCCATTTCACAGATGAGGAAATAGAGACACAAACAGGCAAAGTCTCTTGCTGGGGGTCATGAGTGAGCTAGAACTTGATCTCCAGGGTTTTTTGTTTTTTTGTTTTTTGTTTTTGTTTTTGAGACAGAGTCTTGCTCTGTGGTTCAGACTGAAGTGTAGTGGCACAATCTCGGCTCACTACAGCCTCCATCTCCCGGGTTCCAGCGATTCTCCTGCCTCGGCCTCCCAAGTAGCTGTGATTACAGGTGCCCACCACCATGCCTAGCTAACTTTTTATATTTTTAGTACAGATGGGGTTTCACCATGTTTGCCAGGCTGGTCTTGAACTCCCAACCTCAGGTGATCCACCTGCCTCGGCCTCCCAAAGTGCTGGGATTACAGGCATGAGCCACTGTGCTCGGCCAATCTCCAGGTCTTTCTACCCCCATGCCAGGCTCTTCATATCAGTTCCAACCACTTGGTTCTCCCAGTCTCACCCTGTACCTCCCAGTCCCAATCACCCCAGCCCATCACCTGAAATTCTTCCTCCAGCACCACCATCTGCCGGTCTTTGTCCACCTTCACTGGGGAGGGGTGGCACACAGGGATTAGACACTCCCCCTGATCCATGGGGGACACAAGCCCAGCCCTCCCTATCTGCCCTCACCACCGCCCTCCCATCCTTCTGTGGGGGAAGATGTCACTCACTTATGATGGCTGCATTGTCTGTCTCTTTTCGGAAGCGGAATTTCCTCAGCTTTTCTGTTAGCTCTGGGTCTACCTCGCACACCACCAGGGAGTCAGACTGCCGGAGGGACCCAGGAAGAGCTGAAATGGCCTGGCCTCAGCCCTCACCCCTTCCCCAAACCTGTTTCTCCATCCACTAATGAAGAGGAGCATCGCGCCGGCCCATCTGATGCCTTTGTGAACATTGAGAAAAGGCACCCTTCCCACAGAGTAGATACCCCTCACCAGGGCACTCAGCTTGGGGGGCGGAGCAGAGGCTGGGTTCCCGCCTTCTCCACGGGGACTCTTGGGGGACACTCAAGGAGGTGCAGAGATCCACTTCCTGAGCCTAAACCCAGAGCCACTGTCTCTCTGTTCTTCCAGCCGGGCTGTTCACCACAGTTGGGCCCCCTTCCCGGCCCGTGACCTCCATCCCATAGCCTGACCTTCGCCCAGGTGTCCTCCAAGCCCCAGCCCCAACCCCAGCCCCAGCTCTTCCCATAGAACCCCTGGCCCCTGACCATGATTGTTCTGTCCACAGGCCTCTTCTTTTCTTAGTTCCGCTGTCTTCTAGGCGTGGGGACCGGGGCTGTAGGGGGGCGGGCTGTGCAGTAGGAGGAAGGTTTCATCCAACACCACATCCTGTTTATGCCCTTTCTGGGACAACTGTCACAGAGGGCTCCTCCCCCTCCTTCCTTCCCCTCATCTGCCAGGACCTGTCAGGAAATCGCTCAGACCAGGGTTCCAAAGCTTCCTTGCTGTGTGACCCTAGCTAAGTAACTTCACCCCTCTGATTTGAGATTGTGGTGAGGATATAAATAGCTTCACATCGGCCGGGCATGGTGGCTCACACCTGTAATGCCAGCACTTTGGGAGGCCGAGGCGGGCGGATCACCTGAGGTCAGGAGTTGGAGACCAGCCTGACCAACATGGCAAAACCCCATCTCTACTAAAAATACAAAATATTAGCCTGGCATGGTGGTGCACGCCTGTGATCCCAGCTACTCGGGAGTCTGAGGCACAAGAATTGCTTGAATCCGAGCAGCAGAGGTTGCAGTGAGCCAAGATCACATCATTGCACTCTATCCCAGGCAATAAAAATACAAATAAATAAAAATAAATAAATAAATAGCTTCACATAGCTGCCAGCATGGCAGACACAATAGGTACTAAAAACGAACTATTTTGCTCCTCCCCTCCTCCAGGTGGCCTTCCTAGATTTACCCCCATCTGGGATATTTGAATTGCAGGGCTGGAAAAGGGGAGTTTAGTCTTTTGCTGGTCAGACTGACGCCCATTATGTCAATGGCAAAATGGGGACCAGAGGGGCAACCCCACAGTGCCTGGGTAATGGTGACTTTTTTCCTGCACTTTTCCAACCTCACTAGCCTTGCAATGACCTATGAGGCCCTACAACAAGGGAGTTCAATCCCGTCAGACCGGTACCCAATTTTTTTTTTTTGAGACAGGGTCTCACTCTGTCGCCCAGGCTGGAGTGCAGTGGTGCGATCTCAGCTCACTGCAACCTCCGCCTCCCAGGTTCAAGCCATTCTCCGGCCTCAGCCTCCCAAGTAGCTGGGACTACAGGCACGTGCCACTACGCCCGGCTAATTTTTGTATTTTTAGTAGAGATGGGGTTTCACCATGTTGGCCATGTTGGTCTCGAACTCCTGACCTCAAATGATCCACCTGCCTCAGCCTCCGAAAGTGCTGGGATTCCAGGTGTGAGCCACTGTGAGCCACCATGCCCGGCTATTTTTTTTATTGAGTATTTTTGCACTGCCCCCTTTTCCCATCCCGAAATAAAATTCCTAGATAATATAACCTACTTACACACATAAATTCAAAAAAAAATCAATATAATGTCCTGACTGTCATATAAAGAAGAAATAAAAGGAATGTAGTTCACACAAAAACCATATGTATTTCAGTGAGAAGATAAAAGCAAACAAAAGACAATTTCCACAGGGTCCTAGGCCAACTGTGACTGGCCCACTTCCCTCCATGGTGGGCAAACCCCGGACCCTACACTGGACTCTACCCCTTCACCTACATCTCTGCAGCTGTCCTCTCTCTCCCTCTTGTCTCACCAACGTCCCCATGCCTCCTGGATCTTTCTCCTTAGCCTCCATGCAGTGTTACTTCTTCCATCTTAATTTTTTTCTTTTCTTTTTTTCTTTTATTTTGAGACAGGGTCTCATTCTGTTACCCAGGCTGGAGTGCAGCGGTGTAATCATGGCTCACTGCAGTCTCCAACTCCTGGGCTCAAGCCACCTTCCCACCTTGGCCTCCTAGGTAGCTGGGACTATAGGCACGCAACACCATGCCTGGCCAATTTTACTTTTGATTTTTATAGAGACAGGATCTCGCTATGTGGCCCAGGCTGGCCTCAAACTCCTGGCCTCAAGCGATCCTCCTGCCTCAGCCTCCTGGTGTGCAGGGATTACAGGCGTGAGTCACTGTGTCTGGCCTCTTCCATCTTAAAAACATAAAACTGTATCTCCTGTCCAGCTGCTGCTCACTCATTTCCTTCCCTTTTCTGCAAGATTTCTCAAAAGAGGCCGGGCGTGGTGGCTCATGCCTGTAATCCCAGCACTTTGGGAGGCCAAGGCGGGTGGATCACGAGGTCAGGAGATCGAGACCATCCTGGCTAACAAGGTGAAACCCCGTCTCTACTAAAAATACAAAAAATTAGCCGGGCGTGGTGGCAGGTGCCTGTAGTCCCAGTTACTCAGGAGGATGAGGCAGGAGAATGGCGTGAACCCAGGAGGCGGAGCTTGCAGTGAGCCAAGATTGCGCCACTGCACTCTAGCCTGGGTGACAGAGTGAGACTCCTTCTCAAAAAAAAAAAAAAGATTTCTCAAAAGAATAATCTACATTGCTGCCTCCAATTTCTCCTCCCAGTTTTCTCTTCTGCCTTCTCCAATCAGCCTTTCACCTGTATTCCTCTCAGCTGACATGCCCTTGTCAAGGTCACCCATGCACTCCACGGTGCTGGATCTAATGGTCAATTCTCACTCCTCCTCAGCCACATCTGACACAGCCCATCACTCCCTGTTCCCTGAAACATCGTCTTCATGACACCACACTTGCCTGGTTTTCTTTTTTTCTTTTCTTTTTTTTTTTTTTTGAGACAGGGGTCTCGCTCTGTCACCCAGGCTGGAGTACAGTGGCACCATCTCAGCTCACCGCAACCTCCGCCTCCTGGGTTCAAGCGATTCTCTCACTTCAGCCTCCCAAGTAGCTGGGATTACAGGCGTGAGCCACCACACCCGGCTAATTTTTTTTTTTTTTTCTTGAGATGGAGTGTCTCTCTGTCACCCAGGCTGGAGTGCAGTGGCACAATCTCGGCTCACTGCAACCTCCACCTCCCAGGTTCAAGCAGTTCTCCTGCCTCAGCCTCATGAGTAGCTGGGATTACAGGTGTGCGCCACCACAACCAGCTAATTTTTGTATTTCTAGTAGAGACGGGGTTTCACCATGTTGGTCAGGCTAGTCTCGAACTCCTGACCTCGTGATCAGCCCACCTCAGCTTCCCAAAGTGCTGGGATTACAGGTGTGAGCCACCGCGCCTAGCCATATTTTTGTATTTTTAGTAGAGACAGGGTTTTACCATGTTGGCCAGGCTGGTCTCAAACCCTCCCATGGGCCAGACACAGTGGCTCATGCCTGTAATCCCAGCACTTTGGGAGGCCAAGGCAGGAGAATTGCTTGAGACCAGGAGTTCAAGACCAGCCTGGGCAACATAGCAAGACCTTGTCTCTACAAAAAAATTTTAAAAGTAGCCGGGCATGGTGGCATGTGTCTGTAATCCCAGGTACCAGCTACTTGGGAGGCTGAGGTTGGGAGGATCACTTGAGCCCAGGAGTTTGAGGCTGCAGTGAGCTAGGATCACACCACTGCACTCCAGCCCAGGTGACAGAGTAAGATCCTATCTCTAAAAACCAAACAGCAGGCCAGGCGCAGTGGCTCACGCCTGTAATCCCAACACTTTGGGAGGCCGAGGCAGGCAGATCACTTGAGTCCAGGAGTTCAAGACCAGCCTGGGCAACATGGTGAAACCCCATCTCTACTAAAAATACAAAACTTAGCCAGGTTTGATGGCATACGGCTGTAGTTCCAGCTACTCCAGAGGCTGAGGCAGGAGAATCACTTGAACCCAGGAGGCAGGGGTTGCAGTGAGCCGAGGTTGCAGTGAGCCGCGATCGCACCACTACAATCCAGTCTGGGCAACAGAGTGAGACCCTGCCCCCCCCCCCCACACACACACACACACACACACACACACACACCAACAATGACTAAAATACTAAGTTATCTGTCACCACCCCTACCCCATTGCCTCTTGGACCTTGTCCTTCACTGCCCTCTTTTGCTCACTCCACTCCAGCAATGCTGGCCCCTTTGTGGTTCTGTGAATGATCCTACTACATGGCCTTTGCACTTGCTGTTTTCTCTTTCTGGAACCCACTTTCTCCTTCATTCCTTCAGATTTCTGTTTCAGTCTCACCTAATGAAAGAGGCCTTTCCCCATGTAAATTAATTCTGGCTGCATTACTCCATTCCCTTAGCTGCTTTCTTGTTATTTATTTGTTTATTTATTTAGAGACATAGTCTCGCTCTGTCACCTGGGCTAGAGTGCAATGGCAAATCTCGGCTTATTGCAACCTCCGACTCCTGGGTTCAAGTGATTCTCCTGCCTCACCCTCCTGAGTAGCTGGAACTACAGGCACGCATCACTATGCCCAGTTAATTTTTGGCATTTTTAGTAGAGACAGGGTTTTGCCACTTTGGCCAGGCTGGTCTCAAACTCCTGGCCTCAAGTGATCCACCAGCCTCAGCCTCCCAAAGTGCTGGGATTACAGGCATGAGTCACCATGCCCAGCCACTGCTTTCTTTTTCTCCTTGGTACTTATCACGAAGTTACACTGTATTTCCTTATTGTTTGTGTCCCCAAGAACTAGAATGTAAGTCTTTTTGTTTTTTTTTTGTTTTTTTTTTGAGACGGAGTTTCACTGTTGTTGCCCAGGCTGGAGTGCAATGGCACGATCTTGGCTCACTGCAACCTCCGCCACCCGGGTTCAAGCGATTCTCTTGCCTCAGCCTCCCAAGTAGCTGGGACTACAGGCATGTGCCACCACGCCCCGCTAATTTTGTATTTTTAGTAGAGATGGGATTTCACCATGTTGGTCAGGCTGGTCTCGAACACCTGCCTCGGCCTCCCAAAATGCTGGGATTACAGGTGTGAGCCACCGCGCTCATCCTATTGTTGTGTTTCTAGCACCTTAAGCAGAGCCTGGCACATATTAGATAGTCAAGAAATATTATTGAATGAATTAATGAACCAGCAGTTAATGAGCACAATAATTCTATGCAGTGTGAAGGCTGTTGCTTAAATGCAGGAGGTAGTGGATGGGGTTTGTGACATGGCCCCACCCTGGTGAAACAGCCTTTCCTCAAAGCGTCTATAATGCCACACTCTCCTGGTTTTCCTCTCTCTGGCTGCCTTTTGCAATATTCATCGACAGCGTCAATTCCTTTGCTCAAATCCTGCCTCTCTGTTTCAGGGTTCTGTTCAGTCCCTGTCTCCAGTGACCCTTCATACCCTCCCCGGGCTAGACCCCTAACTCCCACAGCCTCAATTACCATCTTTGACGATCCTTAAATCTTGGTCTCCAGCCTCAATTTCTCCCTTAAGCTCCAGACCCAGGGTTTGTGCACCTCCTGGACCTCGCTACTAGGCATCCACATTGGGCTTAGTATCTTCCCAACCTGCTTCTGGCGCCCAGTCTCCCGGCTAGAGGGGCCTGGTCCTAAACTTTTCTCCCCCTTCCACTCCATAGCCAGCCAGTGTCAGGGCCCGTTCGCTCTGCCTCCAGGGCGTCCCTCCCACCTGCACCTCCTTCCCTCCCCACAGTCCCTCCCTCGTGCAAACCCCCTCTTTCTTCCCCACCCCCTCCCCCAGCTGCCTCCCTGGACTCCCGATCCCGTTTCATTCCCTCCAATCCGCCCTCCATGTATAAGCCAGAGAGACATCTCTCCAAAACCCCAGACTCACCATGATCCTCCCCGGCTTGAAGCCCTTCACGGCTCCCTAGTGCCCTCGGGACAAGTCCAAACTCCCTCAAGTGGCCAAACAACTGGCCTCTGCTCGTTCCTCACCCCTCCCTGTCTTCAACTCGACCCTCCATCCCGACTGCCTCTCTAAGTGCCTGTAACAAGCCAGATCTCTGTCACCGAGAGCCTTCTGAACACAGGTCCCTCTGATTAGTTCACCCGGACCCAATACAGTTTGTGGAACGCACAGATCACAACCAAAGTCACAGCAACAACTCCCGTTTATTGACAGCCTCCTTGATCCTTAGCGCTTTCTGTGCATTCTCTTCCCACCCTAAAGGCTAGATCTCGCCTCGCCATTCCCATCGGAGAGAGCAAGCGGCAAGGCTGAGAACAGCGCGATGAGAAAGCCGAGCGCCCAGAAGCCCGAGTGCAGACGCCCACTGAGGACAGCCTTGGGTGAGGCGGGCCACCCAAGGGGCGGGGAAGAGGAGGCCTGGAACGCCTGAATCAGGAACTGTGACTTCGCTCGGGGCAGCTGGGGTGGACGCGCGCGAGCCTGCCCCCTGCGGGCCTGGAGGCCCAACCTCAGACTCCGCCGGGCCCGTTGCCCTGGGCAACGCCCCGCGCGCCCCGCCCCTTCCCCGCCCCCCAGCCCCAAACCCCAGGCCTGGCCGACTGCCCGTCACCCCCACGTCCGACCAATCCCGCCGAGGAGGGGGCGGGCCTCTTGGGCCCCGTTCCACCACCGTCGCTCCCCCCTCGCCGCGACCCCGCCTTACTCGGCTCACACCTCCCGCCCTTCGGGCTGCCCTCGCCGCCCGTTGGCTGGCGCGCCGTTCGTCACCCGGGCGTGAGCTAATGCCGGCGCGCGGCGGCCCCCGTCGGGGCGGGGCCAGGGGCGGTGACGCACGGCGCGGTGACGCAGCGCGACGGCGGCGGCGGCGGCGGCGGCGGTGGTCGGTGCGGGAGGAGGGAGGGGAGCTTGCGGGCCCGAGAGGGGGCGACGGCGGCGGCGGTGGCCTGAGGAGGCCCGAGCGGCGGCGGTGGCGGCGAAGGCCGAGGCGGTGAGTCTCGGGCCGGGCCGGCGCGGGGCGGCGGCGAGTCGGGGCGCGCGGGGCTCCCCTCAGGGCGACCCAGGCCGCGCGGGCGGCCCCGCCCCCTCAGGGACCCCGAACCGCGGGCGGCGGCGGCGGGCGGGTGCGGAACGCGGGCCTCGGGGGGCCGGGCCCCACGGGAGAAGCCCCGCGCCCGTCCCCAGTCTCCCTCCTGGGCCCTGGCCGAAGCTTCCCTCCGAAATCTTTCTCATGCCCTCGGGATTGCCGAGGGGCCGGGCCGGGGGCCTCTCCTCAGGACCCCCCGCACATCCCCCTCGGAGAGCCCCGGAAAGCCTGCCGATCCCCCGTGTGCGCCCTGAAAGGTCCCCGCAAAACCCACCCCTCCCGTGGAGTCGCCTCCTCGAGCCCTTCATGGGTCCCAGCAGCTTTCCTCGCAGACCCCCGCCCTTTGGCCCCGAAGCCCCCGTCCTCCTCCTGTCTCCAGAAATAGTCCTCGGAGGCCACTCCTCGTCCATTCCACAGCGTGGCTCTCATAGCTGCTCCAGGAGCCTCCCTCACGAGCCCTGCACACCTCCCCAAGGCTCCCTCCGGACCCCTGTCCATTCCAGAACTCTCCCCCGGAGCCCTGCCTCTCACAGCCCAACAGGCTCACCCGACTTCCCCCTCCCGGATCCTAAGAATTTTCCCTCCCACTTACCCCATTCCAGAAACCTCCTTGGAGATTTTCCGCTCATACCCCCTGCATTTCTGATTCCCCCTCCCAGAAGTCCTTCAGAATGCCCCCGACGGACCGTGATCATCTTCCCTGAAGATCTCCTTCCCATATCCCCAAAATAAATCTTCCTCACAGACTTTGTGAAATGCCCCCAGATCCCAAAAACTCACCTAGAAGACTCCATCCCCCTCCCCACCGTATTGCAACCATCTCTCATACACACTCCCCCTTCACGTATCCCTCTGGACCTTTCCACAGATCCCAAAAGTCTCCCCCAGAGGCCTCCTGTCTCCCCCTGGTCTCACCACCCTAAAATGCCCTAGAGATCACCCTCATGTAGCCCAGTGATCTTCACCGGGATCCCCTTCCCCACCCCCACTCATTCTAAAAATCTCCAGCAATTGCCTGAAATCTCCAGAGGACTCTCAGCATCATATTCCAAAAGCTTCTTCCAAAATCCCTTTTACATACTCCACATCTTTTCCAGTCCCCCACATCACACGCTCCAAAAATTGTTTAAGGATCCTGAAAACTTTCCTCATGGTTTTTCTCTCAGATCCCGTAGAACTCCCCTTCACTAACACCTCAGAATCCCCCCTTGCAGACCGGTTTTAGAGGAATTTTCTGAAGATCCTCCTCACAACCCCTGTAAGACCGTAAGATTCTCTTGGTGACCCCTCTGATATGCAGGTTTTCAGGACCCCCCCCCCCCACACACACACACAGCTTAGAGACCCCAGCGACCCCCTGGAGCCCTCCTGACGTATGTTCTTGAAATCCCTCCAAGACCTTCCTGACACCACCAGAACCCCTTGAATCAATACTTCTGCCTTACTAAGGGACTTTTCTAGAGATATCCCTCCCTGAACTTGCTCACACAGGTCCCCTAAATCCTCTAGAATCCCTTGAAGAAGACCCTCACACACACCTAATTTTCCCCCAAAATAACCCGAGCTCTTGCTCTGAGAAAGTCCTATAATTCTTTCTGAAAAACCCTCTCCTCTGACACTCTCTCAGAAGACCCCGCCTTCCCCATATACTCTTTTGGAGACTTTACTCAGCTTTCTCCTCAACTGAGATCTCTGAAGAGTTTTTCCTAAAAACATCCCTCTGTCATCCCACTCCAGGACCAGTCTCAGAAGACCACACCTTCCTCAGACACTTTTTAGAGAATTTTCTCCCAAATTGCCCTCCATCAGCCACCCACTCCCAGCGCTTCCTGAGACTTCCTCAGAACTTTCCCTCAGATTCCACTTCTGACATCCCCAAGAAACATTATTTAGGACCCTATCAGATTTACCCACTAACTTTAGAATTGCTATTTACACCCTCTCATTTCCCCATTCTCTTTCCTCTGAAGTCAACTCAGAGACCTTTCTCAGGGGGCCCCCTTTTCCCATTATCCCTTCAGAGGTCCCCAACATTCTCCAGACTCGTTGCCCAAGAGCCTCTATGTTTCCTTGTAAAGATTCTTGAGAGACACCTTTCCCCGCCCCCTTGAAATCCCAGTGCTCCGAGATCTTTCTTTCAGACCATTTTTCTTAGGTGCCATGCTCATAGACCCCTCTTCCCTTCAGAGATCAAGAGACCCTTAACACCCTCCTTAGAGACTTAGGATTCTCCCCATTTCCCTTTCAGAAGCCTTCTTCCTTCTCCCCTTTGAGGACCTCCTCACCAAATAATCCCTTCCCCTATAGCAGTGGTTCTCAGTGTGGTTCCTGGCCCAGCAGCAGCCACATTTGTTAGAAATACACATTCTTGAATCCCACTCAGATCTACTGAAACTGAAAACCTGGGAGCAGGGCCCAGCAATCAAGAGTTTTTAACAAACCCTCCTGGTCATTTTGATGCACACGCAAGTTTGAGAACCTGTGCCCTTTAGGAGGATTTCCTTTTCCTCACTAAAAGCCCCCTGAAAGATGCCTCAGGGTATGCCTCTGTGCCCTACTGCCCACTGCTGCTTTCCTGTTTCCTAGGAATCCCCTTTATGAAGTACCCATCCTCCAGAAAGATTTCTTACCTACCTTGAAAGGATCTTGGCTTCTCCACAAGGTTACTCCATCCTCTGAGCAGTTATTTCCGATTCTACTTTTGAATGGTTTCTTTTCAGATCTTCCTCAGTGCTTTCTCTTTCTGGCTACCCCTCCAGCCCACTACCAGCCTTTGGTGCTTCTTTAAATTGCTGCTTCTTTGAACACACATATCCATCTCTTCTTGTCCATCTGTTTCTTCACATAGGCACCCTCCCCTTGAGGCACCCTCAGGAGGTCTTTTCATTCTGTGTCTTACTGCCAAGACCCCTCCACCTCCATTGTACCTCTTAGAACACCACTCACCTTCAACCTTGTAGATTTTAATGTACTTGTCCACTCACCCTCACTGGACTAGGAACTCTGAAAGTACGGGATGTGTCTTGTTCTTCTCTGAATCCCACAAGGTGGGATCTACTCTTTGTAAGTTATTGGAAATCACTGGAGAATAAGCAGCTCTTCCTTCTGCATTTGGCCAGAAATCTCCAAGTTCCTCAGATCTCACTCCTCATTCAGGTTTAGTACACCTTCCCTGCCCCCTCCTCTCCTCTCACCTCCCTTTTTTTTCTCCACACAGCACCCTTTGCCTTTACTCCTGCCCTACTTGCTCCTGTCTTAGGGACTTTCTTTGTGCTGTTTCCTGATTCTGAGCTACCCCAAGTCCTTTGCCTGGTGACCTGCCTCACCCGTCCTGGTTGGCTTCTCTTAGCAGCCCCTCTCAGCTGCTAAGTCTGGAGCCTCCACAGAGCTCTTGGCATTTTTTCAAGGGATTCTGTTTCTAGGGCCCAGAAGGGGAAACAGAGACCCCAGGGTAAATATTGGGGCCTGCCTTCAGGGAGCTCACAATACCAGTAGGGGGCTTGGGCATGTACAGAGCAGAAAATGAGGTACAAATTATATGCTGTAGAAATTCAGCAGTGAGAGGGAGCCTTTTATTTGGAAAGACTTCACAGAAAAGGTGGTATTTGGGCTGGATAGTGTTCCATGGGAGTTGGGACAATGATGGTGCCCCCAGGCAGAGGAAACAGCTTAAGCAATGGGTCAAAGACAAAGCCTCCTCATCTCTCACCCATGGTATCTCTTCTCTTCACCCAAAAGATAGAGATGAAAGAAGACAGATTTCCTCCATTTGCATTGTATTTGCCAGCTGCACTTTAGTGACCTACAGAGTAATAATAATAATGACCACTGGTTTTTGAATGCTTTCTAACTGCCAGGCACTGTTTAAGTGCTTTACATGTATTCATAGGAGGTAGGAGTTTACCTACCCTATGAGGTAAGTAAACTACCATTATCCTCATTTTGCATATGATGAGATTAAGAACAGGTAGGACTAATAGAGGGTCTGTGGGCACTGTCCATTCCAAGATGGTAGTGCCTTGGGTCAAAAAGTTTGATTTTTAGTTAAGATAGGTTTGGCTGCAATGGGGCAGTAGTTGTTAGGTATGCAGACCCTGGGTCTGGACAGGATTTGTATCCCACATTACCACTCACCAGTTTTGTACCCTAGGACGAGTTACTTCCCTGGTCTTTTAGTTTCCACAGCTAAAAATATGAAGGAAATAATGATACTTTACTTCATAGAATTGTTACGAGGATTAAATAAGTTAATACATGTAAAGTACTTAGAACAATGTCTTGCCCATAATTGCAATGTTAGAAAAACAATAAAATAAAAAAAAAGCTCATATCAGCCAGAACTCTAAAAACATAAAGTGATAGAACCTTAGCTCAAAGTGGTTTAATGAAAAAAGTGGGGGATTAATTGGCTTTTGTTACTGGAAAGTCCAGAGCTAGGTTGGCTTCAGACCTAGCTGCATCCAGGTGTTCAAATAATTTTCTCAGTCATCTCCTCCCATTTCTCCACTGAGTTAGCTTCATCCTCAACAAGCTTCTGCTTTGGATGACAAATATGGTCCTCAGCAGCCCCAGGTTTTAACCCTACCTCCTTGGAAAGCCTTAGTGGAAAGAGAACTCTTTCTTGAGAGTCCCAGTTTGAAAATAGTTTCTTCCTTGAATAGATGTGAGATTATGCCAGAAGATCCTTAGAAACATATTTTGGGTTCTGTACCCTGCAACTCAGTCTCTGGCTTGCTGAGCCAAATAGGCCTGTGATTCCATCCGATGAACTTTCTGAGCAGTGATGGCAATCTCCCTCCCCACTGTCCCCCAGCCGCAGTCATTCTCTGCTCTGTGATTGTTTGGGTCTAGAGAGAGCTTGTGGCTGGTCTGACTCAACCACACTTTGCTTTGGGATATCACGGGTGATATGAGGTGATCAGCCTGGCTTGATGGTGGCCTCAGGGGAGCAGAATCCAGGAGTAATGGCAATACCCTCACCACAGTTTAAGGTTTCCAAGACACAGAACTTTGGAAGAGAGTTAAGTAGGATTGCTGTGAGTGGAGTTTTGTTTTGTTTGTTTTAGTGTAAACTTGTTGAATAGAAGCGGGTTCAGGGCAAGTTACAGAACAGCAGTGTATGGAGTATGCAAGTCTCAAATATCTCCAGCCTGCACTCATTCATTAATGCATGGAGGCACTATTCTAGGTACTGGAGACAGAGCAGTGAATAAAACATTCAAGGTCCTGAAATTCATGGAATTTATATTCTGATGGGGGGAGGAAACAAAAAAATCAGAGTGTGATTCATGCTGTGAAGGAAATAAAACAGTGTGAAAGAGAGGGTGGGAGTGGCCACTGTAGTAGACAGGGGGATCAGAAGAGGCCTCTTTTGGGAGGTGACAGTTGAGCCTGATAACCAGAAAGATGAGAAGGCACCAGTTGTGGGAAGATCTGGGAGTGGAACATTCTAATCTAAGCATTGTTACATGCAGAAAAAGGACCTCTGCAAGGTGGGGAAATTTATCACAGATATTTATTGAGGGCCTGCTATGTACCAGGTGCTATGCTAGGAATTGGAGATGTAGCAATGAATAATATAGCTACAGTCTTCCCTTCTCTCATGGATCTTACAGTCTAGGTGTTTTTGGAAGAGCTGCAGCCTTTGAAGAAACATCTCTTGATGATGATATCATAGACTCCTTCCTACTGGGCAGATGAGGCAGAATGGGGCACAGGTGAGCCCAGATCTGATTGATGAGAAGGAACCAACCTTGTGACGGTCCGGGGAAGAGCATTTCAGGCAGAGAGGTCAGCAGGTGCAAAAGCCCTGCCATATGTTCAGGGAATCGCAAGGACCAGTGTGGCTAAAGCCTAAGTGAGGGAGAGGGGTGAGGGTTGGAAAGGCTGACAGAAGCCAGATTACTTGCAGCCTAAGGGCCACAGTAAGGAGTTTCTATTTTCATTTAAGGGGATTGGGAAACTATTAGAAGGGAGTTTTTAAAAGCAAGACAGCGACATGATCTGATTAATTTTTTTAGAAAGCTCACTTTGGTTTCTGGGAGGAAAACAGAGGGTCAGGACAGAATCAGGAAGGAAAGTTAGGAGACAATCCATTTGTCCAGATGAGAAATGGTGACATGAATGTGGTGGTGGTGGTGGTAGTGAAGATGTAGAGAAGCAGATATATTTTGGGTGTACAGAAAACAGGACTTGATGATGGGATTAGAGAAAGAGAGGAATCTAGAATAATGATAATAGCCAAGTCATTTATGCCTCACAACTCTATGAGAGTAGGCACTATTATTATTTTCTGTCTTCCTTCTCAGTAGGTACTATTATTACACCCACATTACAGATGACAAAACAGGCATGGCAAGGTGAAATCACTTGCCCAAAATTACACAGGTAGTAAGTGGCAGGCTTATATTTCCAACCCGGCAGTCTGGTTCTAGAGCCACTTAGGTTTGGGGAAAGATAAGCAAGGCATGTGTAGCTGACATTAAGAAAAAAGAAATATCAAGACCTAATGACTGGGTCTTTGGGAAATGGAAGAAGTCAAAGATGACTCAAAAAAATGTCTCAGTTGTCCACAGAGAGGTGATGATTGAATCTACAGGAGTTAATTACATGCCTAAGTGAGAGAAAACAAGTGTAAAGAAGGGAAAGGAAGCAGAGAATAAACTTTTCGGGGGGAAGGGGTGTCAAGACATTTAGGAGTGGGAGGAAGAATGCTAGCTTCCTCTCTATTCCAGAGTTTACCGGAGCTCCCCATACTGTACTTATCTTCCAGGAGGCCCTGCCTGGCTTCTCCTCTCCTCTCCCTCCCTTCCCCAGCACCATTCATACAAAAAGCTCATTCTTTGCTAATGCAGTGGTGTACATGTTTTGTGTACGTATTTCAGGAGTTTCTGGAAATAATGGTTGATTCTTATAAGAGAAGTTGTGCTCCCTTGGCTTCTGACAGTCTCTTCTCAGGTTATGAAAGTGAGTTAACCCTAGGTAACTAGCCTGTTACCTTGTTCATGAAGTGTAAGTTCTCAAAGGCCTAGGTCGTGCTGTAAAAAGAACTAGGAATGGGTAAGAAGGCAGATAGGATCCCCTTATTCATCCAGAGATGTTGGTATTAAAGGGCCCTTAGGCCCAACTTTCACCTTGTTGCCCAGGCTGGTCTCAAACTCCTGGGCTCAAGCGATCTGCCCACCTCAGTCTCCCGAAGTGCTGGGATTACAGATGTGAGCCACCATGCCCAGCTTTCTTGCATTGTTAAGAGCAAGCAAGAGCTCTGAAGCCAGACTGCCTGGCCTTGAAAATCTCAGCTTGGTGTACAGTCTTGGGCAAAGTGACTTAACTTCTCTGTGCCTCAGTTGCTCCATCTGTAAAATGATAATATATTCATATATGTATGTTATATATTTTTGAAATAGAGTTTTGGGGATCAAATGTGCTTATCTGTGGAAAGCTGTTGGCAAAGGGCCTGACAATGTATGATGTATGAAGACATGCTAAGCATCATGCTTGCTATTGAAATGAAGTATAGAGGAGGAAAAAAGCATCATGCGCGGTATTTTTAAATACATTGTTTCATTTAATTCTTCTAACAAGCTTCATTGAGGAAGAAACAGAGTTACTTGTCATAGTCAATACAGCAAGTAAGTATAACAGGAGAGCCAGGATTTAAGCCAGGTCTGACTAACTCCACCATCCTGCTTCTGAATGAAGAGAGCTGGACTCCAGAGGCACTGTTTATGGGCATATGGGCCTTTTCTCACTGTTTGGGGCCAGAGAAGAAGCCCAGAGGGCAGTTTGTCCTGGAACATCTCAGCATTTTTTTGTTTTTGTTTTTGTTTTTGTTTTGAGACAAAGTCTCCAGTCCCCCAGGCTGGAGTGCAGTGGCGCAATCTCAGCTCACTGCAACCTCCACCTCCCAGGTTGAAGCGATTCTGCTGCCTCAGCCTCCTGAGTAGCTGGGATTACAGGCGCCTGCCACCACGCCCAGCTGATTTTTTGTATTTTTAGTAGAGACAGGGTTTCACCGTGTTGGCCAGGCTGGTCTCGAACTCCTGACCTCAGGTGATCCGCCCGTCTCGGCCCCCCAAAGTGCTGGGATTACAGGCGTGAGCCACCGTGCCCAGCCTTTCTCCAGGTGGGAGTGCAGTGGCATGATCTCAGCTCACTGAAGCCTCGACCTCCAGAACTCAAGTGATCCTCCCAAAGTAGCTGGGACTGCAGGTGCACACCACCACGCCCAGCTAATTTTTGGATTTTTTGTAGAAACGGTTTTGCCATGTTGCCCAGGCTGCTGATCTGGAACCTTTGGCTTTTGTTTTGTTTTGTTTTTGTTTTTTGAGACAGGGTCTCACTCTGTTGCCCAGGCTGGAGTGCAGTGGCACGATCTTGGCTCACTGCAACCTCTGCCTCCCGGGCTCAAGTGATTCTCCCGCCTCAGTCTCCCAAGTAGCTGGGGTTACAGGTGCACGCCACCACGCCTGGCTAATTTTTTTGTAATTTTTGTAGAGACGGGGTTTCACTGTGTTGCCCAGGCTGGTCTCGAGCTCCTGAGCTCAAGCGATCCACCCGCCCATGCCTCCCAGAGTGCTGGGATTACAGGCGTGAGCCACTGCACCCAGCCCTCTTAGCCATTTTGTTAACCTCATTTCCCACCTCTGGAGGTGGTAGGGGCTTCCCAAGAAGATCACTTGGACCTCTTCAAGTATGGTGGCAATATTGCTGGGCTGTTGGAGAGACTTCTGTTATAGAGGCTCCCCTCTTGTGTTTTTCCTCAAAGGCAAGGAGTCATTTTTGGTCACATGAGGACAAAGAGACCAGACCAGTAGTGCATTCTGTTTTGCATGGGAATTGTCAAGGCTCTTTCAGTTTTAACTGAAACCCAACTCAAACTGGCCTAAGTCAAAAACGAATTTATTCATCTATGTAACTGAAAAGAGTGGGCCACAAGGGGGAGGCTTCAGGCTAGCTGCATCTAGGTTTTAAATCATGTGAACAGATCTCCCTTTCCCCCTCCCCCATCTCTTGACTTTGCTGTCATCTGTTAGTTTCATTCTGAAGCAGGCTTCCACCGTGAAATAGAAGAGGTGGCAACTGGTGACATCATGAGACGATGTGTAATCTGAGCAACCCTAACCAAGAACTTATTTTCCTTAGTAGTTCCAGCAAAAATCCAGAGAGGACTATCCTTGGCCAGGCTTTACCCCATGTCCACTTCTGGAGCCAAGAAAGACAGTTCCTTCTCCAAGGGGAACCCAGGGTGTTGATACTAGAAGATGGAAATGGATACAGTAAGATGCTGCCACAGTGAGATGCCTCACCCAGGTCTCCCTCTGTCACTTCAGCCAAGCACATGGGATAGAAAGTAGCAGGCGGCCTCTGGCCCTTTAATGGAAGAGGGCCATCCAGTCCTCTCCAGTTAACATCTAGACCGAACACAAAGCATCCTTCTCTCATCCAGAAGACATAGGAACCCTACCTTCAGGGATGATTTTTTTTTAACAGTGAAATCTTAAAAGTAACTGTTTCACTAAAGCCTCCAGTATTTACTGAAGACTGTCAGAATCATCCTCCATCACTAGATCTTCTCCACCAGTCATGTTCCCTGAGCAGTGGGGTGGCTTGAAGGTATAAACCAGAGAGGCCCAAGGGAGGGATAGTTAGCAGACTTCTGGTCTTTTTCTAGTTTGTGCTCTTCTGTTCCAAGGACCACAGGTATGTCTTCTTCTGTGTAGTTGTTCACTATTGTTTCAATGTGATTCGTTTCCCACATTTGAAAATAGGGGGGGATTTTACTTTAAAATTCAGATATCTGGCTCCTCTTTAGGGGAAAAAAAAAAAAAAAAAAACCTAAGACGTAACAATACTGGACCCACATTCCTTCATGGTAGCAGTTGATAAGAGGTGGATAGTGACTTCTCCCTTTTGACCGGGTGTGGACTTTCCAACTCACCATAGTCCCAGTTGGCCTGCTTTGTTCAAAGCCTGGCCTTGTAAGCATCATGTTTGAGACCCTATTATGTCCGAAAGCTTTGCTTCTATCGTTTGGCCTGGGGGGAAAAGCTGGATTAATGTTTAGTCAGCAGCTTATTGGGTGGGTGGAGGGGGGGAACAGTGCTGTTGCTTAGGAAAAGTAACAACCCAGTAAAAGAATTTATGGGAAAGAGTGTGCACAACTTTGGTCTGTTTGTGGATTTGGTCGTTTTTTTGCTGTAAATGCTGTTGGTATATCAAACCTCCTGTCACAAATGTTCCCTCTGAAATAGTAACATGTCCTTCTATCTTATGAGTTGCCACCCAGTGAAGGAATCCCTCCCACTCCCGAGGGATGTTCATCCAGCCTCCGCTTGACCACTTCCAGCAGCCAGGGAGCTTATTACCTCCTCACATGGCAGCCAGTTCCATTCTTGGACAGATGCGTTATTTTAAAATTCTTCCTTATGTTGAAGCAGCTGCTGCCTCTTTGGGACTGAAAGCCACAAAATGCTGGAGCTGGGAAGGAAAACCGATTTTTTTAGGCGCGTGAGCTACCACTCATCCACCCTGCATCCAGGGCAAACATTGATAATTAATCACAGCACTCTTTCTCACTGAGTCAGGAAGTATGCTGCCTTAAAATTGTTTTTAATTAAATTCTTTTTTAAAAATTACAAAAGTAATATGTATTCACTTGCAACTAGTGAAGTAGTACAAAGTTATATAAAGATAGTGTTAATAATCCCCCTGTTTCTCCAAGATAGTGTTAGCAGCCGAGGGTGTATTCTTCTATACATTTATACACATATAGACATAAATATTCATATATAAGATATATAAGGGGTTTTGTATGTGGCTTTTTTTTAATTTAAAAAATGGCATTATATTGTACATATTACTGTGTAGCTTATGGACACCCCTCCAAGTAGTTACAGATCAAACATTGTATATAGCTTTGTTTTTTTGTTTTCTTGTTTTCTTTTTGAGATGGAATCCCGCTCTGTCACCCAGGCTGGAGTGCAGTGGCATAATCTCGGCTCACTGCAGCCTCCACCTCCCGGGTTCAAGCGTTTCTCCTGCCTCAGCTTCCCAAGTAGCTCGGACTACAGGCGCCCGCCACCACACCCGGCTAATTTTTATATTTTTAGTAGAGATGGAGTTTCGCCATGTTGGCCAGGCTGGTCTCAAACTCCTGACCTCAAGTGATCTGCCTGCCTCAGCCTCCCAAAGTGCTAGAATTATAGGAGTGAGCCACCACACCTGGCCAGATTAGGCATGTTTTTAATAGATACGTTATATCATACAATGTGGGATCTGCCCCAGTTTATTAATCATTCCCCATTAATGGATATTCCCATTCATTTCTTCAGGATTCTTCTCATCGCAGTGCTCCAGGCAGCCACTACCAATCGATTGGAGTTAGCCTGTGAGGTAAAACCTATTTGTCATGTCTCACCCAGTCCCGCTCCTTATCCTACATTCTAGAGAAGAGAACAGACTAGCTCCGTGATCAAAGTGAATCAGTGGCTTGGGCAGGACTAGAACTGAATTTTCTTGACTTTCAGCATTTCCTCTATCCCATGTTGTCACTCCCTTGGAGTCATCTACCCTGCTTTTCTCCTCTAGAGTAAAAGAACAAATATAATTTCTTTTCTGCGTGCTACCTCTTCAGATATTCAAAGTCAGTTATGCCATTCCCCTTGAGTCTTCTCTTCCCCAGAGGAAAATCTCAGTGCCTTCAATTTTTTTTTCTTAAAACAAGGTTTTCAAATCCCTTTACCATCCTATGAGCTGTTCCTTCTATCTTCTTCCCCCCTAGGGCTATAGAAATCCCAAGTGTGGCTTCCACATTCACCTTCTATAGCTATTTATTTATTCAATAAATATATATTGAGCACCTTCTACGTGCCAGGCACTGTTGTAGGCACTGGCTGACTGTATGGCTTGCGTTTTGGTCAGTAGAGAGAAACAAATAAGATGATACCTGAGAGTGCCAAATTATATAGGAATGAAATAGTGTTAATATAATTGGAGGAGTAACTCCTGAGATTGGATGGTCAGGGAAGCTCTCTCTGAAGAAATGACAATGAGCTGAGACCTGAATGACAGGAGCCAGCTTCTAGGGGAAGACAGTTCCACTGAATAAGAAATAATTTGGTACAAGATGAGGTTGGAGTGGCCACAGGAGTCCTATAGGGCTCGGTAGTTCAAGATAAGATGTTTGGAATTTGTTTAAAATTTTTTTTTCTTTTTTTCTGAGGCAGAGTTTCCCTGTCACCCAGGCTGGAGTGCAGTGGCATGATCTCAGCTCACTGCAACCTCCGCCTCCCAGCTTCAAGCGATTATCGTCCCTCAGCCCCCCAAGTCACTGGGATTACAGGCGTGCAGTAGCACGCCCGGCTAATTTTTGTATTTTTAGTAGAGACGGGATTTCGCCACTTTGGCCAGTCTGATCTTGAACTCCTGACCTCAAGTGATCCACCTGCCTTAGCCTCCCAAAGTGCTGGGATTACAGGTGAGAGCCACCATGCTTGACCTTATTTAGATTTTATTTAAGTGCAATGGGAAGTCATTGGAGAATTTTAGGCCAGGGAGGTGACATCTGATTTCCCCTTTAAAAAAAATTGCTGGACGCTTGTTTAACTTGGAGCAAGGTTTCATTTTCCCTCATACCTTTCCTGCTTCTTACATCCAAAGGGATTGGCAACCAGGCCAGTTCAGTCTGTTTAGGGGTCCCACAGGGGATCTGTGAGGCAAGTCACAGCTGTTGCCTAATGCACCCCACAGCCCTCCTCAGCAAGCGCACGGAAGTTCAGAGAGATGTGAGTAGCTCCCTTAGACCTGAGCCCAGTAGGTTCAATGGGTCTTTGTATGAAGTTCTCAGTCCGGGGAACCTTAGTCCTTTGGCAGCCAGAGGGGGATGGAGCTGAATGTGGTTTGAGGATAGAGCCAAGGGCACTGGTTGCAAGAGAGACAGATGGAAGAAATGTTGAGTGGAGATCTGGAGCTCGAGACACTTAGAAAAAGCCTTCGGAGTGGTGTCCAGAAACCAACCACCTGAAAAATAGGTCTGTTGTTTGCCCAGTTGAAATAACTTTTCTTTAGTTCCTGCCTAAGAGGGGAATTTGGACACTTTGTAGCTTGTGAGTTTTTGACTTTTGATCTGTCCCCTTCCCCTCAGGTTGGCATTTTCTTTGCTTCCAGGAGGAGCCTGAGACAAGCTGGCATCTCTGGAAGTCGGGGACTTCCCAACCAGAGAGTTTAGGTTTGGAGTCTTCAGGGGAATTAAGAGGGCAGGGAGCGATTCACCTCAGAATAGAGATGGGTAAAATCTGATAAATCAGAGTTGTGCCTTTTCCAGAGTCAGGGAAGCTGGGTTAGAGAGGGTGAGATTCCCTCAGCCTGTTGGTGATCTTTGAAAAGCCCTTTGTCCATGCCCACACCTGATAGATACCCAGCCAGTTACTAATCAGATGGCTGGCTGCATACCTGAGATCTCCACCAGGGTCACTACCCGACCATCCATCCTCTACCCAGCATTGTGGGTCTAGCTTGAAGTAATTTAAAGAGCCCTTGGAGTCCTATCAGTAGGTTAGGAGTCACACTGCCCAGCTCTCAGAGAAGGTGGCCAGAAACCAGCAAGGTCAGAGATGTGCTGTGCTTAGTCATGTCACCTTGGGCCAGATCGCCATCAATTCATATCTTTTCTCATAATTTGCAGCCTACTATTTCCCACTTCTGAAAAATTTTTCCAATATATTTTCTGTGTTAAATCCGCTTCCTTTGACACTATGACAGCCAGGTGTGAGGGCCAACATCTCCTTGGTCTCTGGGATAGGCATCTAAGTCCCAGTCACGCCTTTTCTCTGGATCTGAAGATTTGGGTGAAAGTAGCTTTAATATCTGGTGTTGGCTTCATGTTTCTTCCAGGAGCTCAGCAGAGCAAGTACCCTGAAAGAGAAAGGCATGAGGCCTTCATGCCCCCTCAACCCACACTCACCAGGCAAGTTTCAGCCCCTTCTTTCTGTTTGACCCCTTTGCTTCCTTTTTCAGGAAACTGGAGAGGCGTGGCTGGACCAAGACCTCCCCCCATGTGAGCAGGCTTCCTCCTCCCCCAACAACCGTTGCCACCACGCCCAGAAACGTCCTTAAGCCCTGGCCCTCAGGGGAAAGGTAACAGGAGGCCAGAGCCGGGACCATGTGACGGCGCTGGCCCTCGCCACCGCCGTCCCCCGACCCTGGCCCCAGGCCCGGCACCATGATGTTCCGAGACCAGGTGGGCATCCTCGCTGGCTGGTTCAAAGGCTGGAATGAGTGTGAGCAGACAGTGGCCCTCCTGTCACTTCTGAAACGGGTCACCCGTACCCAGGCCCGCTTCCTGCAGCTCTGCCTGGAGCACTCACTGGCGGACTGCAATGACATCCACCTGCTGGAGTCGGAGGCCAACAGTGCTGGTGAGTTTCCACCCTTAGAGATGGGAGCACAGCAGGAGGGAGACCTGGAACAGATGTCACATGGCTAAGAAGGTCAACCCAACAATGGGACTAAAAAACGTGGGTTCTAGGCTTGGTGGGTGGGGAGTTCCTTACCTTCTAAGTTGTCATCATGGGTCTTCTGGGACTGTGTTGCCATAAATCCTCAGGCATGGTATGGTGGACTTATGGGAGAAGGCAATGCAAACTGGAAACTCCCCATAACAGGAAGATCATGTAGAGTGGCTTATGTGGGCTGCTGAAAGGAACAGACTAAAGTCATTATGAAAGGCGTATAGAAGGTGAGCAGTAATTAATTTCTTAAGCTT